>NC_000021.9:10487738-10651149 GCF_000001405.40 Homo sapiens | reverse complement strand
ACTTCTCTTAGGGAAACTCCAGTATTCTCAGGTGAAAATATACAAACATGATGAATGTACACTTGCTACGTCTCCAATTGTGTACTGTTTTCGTTACTTCTGTTTGGAGAAGGAAGTCATATACTCAGGTCTAGTATCCATGTAGGGGGTGCTCCCCATTTGCAAGATACTAGAAAAAATGGCAAGTTAGAGGCCCACTGTTGTACAAATCAACTAGTTCTGTGTGTGTGTGTGTGTGTGTGTGTGTGTGTGTGTGTTATTGAAAAAGAAGACATGGAGTGGGCATTGATCCACAAGTATATATGCCTACAGGTATTCTTAGATGTAATATTCAATTGCAGAAGACCAAACAAGATAGAGCATCCCCCAAAACCCTTCAAAATTTTTGTGCTCACTATGTGTCCACTAATTAAATGCATCCTGAGCTCCAGGGAAGGGCTCCCTGATGGTTTCTTAGAGTTCACTGGGTCTTCTAAGGTCAATGTTTTCAAAAGATTGTGTCAGTAACATATGGTGTCACTGAAGGAGCATTTTAAACTAGGGCATGACCTCTTCCTATAGCCCTAGAAACACTGAGAGATAAATCCTCTGTGAGCCCAGATGGAAACCTCCATGCAGAGCAGAGACAGTGCTGCAGAGGGCGCCCAGGACCCACCCAGAACAGGCTCCAGCCCCAGAGCTGGTGCACATGAGGCTGCAGCGGGGATTTCTCTGAGAACTGAGTGTTGTTTTATTGAAAACCAAAAAATTATAACATGTTAAAATTAGAATTTTGCAAAGACTATTTCTATTATCTCTATACATTTAGAAATAAATAAATCAACAATTCAGTGAGAACCACATTTAAAAGGCAAAATTGTTAGCGGTTTGAGGTATTTTCCTAGTAAAAAATGAAGAACAGGGATGGTTTTATTAAATCAAAAGGTACACATTTCAGAAGACACATAGATCCCAAGAGTAAGACTGCAGACAGCAAAACCCCGAAAGGGTGGAGGCTGTCCATGTGCCATGTCCTGTGTGAGTCACCTTCTTAGTGGAGAAGTTCTCCCTTCACAAAGTTCTGGGCATATAAAGGGAAACACGACTTTAAATAAGAATGAGGACTTGTACCTCAGCATCCCACAGTTGTGTGGTTCATGTGAGATCTATTTTCTCTTTCTCATGCTGGATCAAGTGTAAGGCTATGAAGTAGTAGTTCTCGTGAATATGCAAATCACCTGAGATGAACACTACAGATATGTCTGTGCCCTGAGAGCATTACCCAATAACCAGCCATGTCCTCTAGAGAAGCCCCTGAGAGCACAGCTCCTTACCATGGACTGGAATTGGAGGATCCTGTTTTTGGTGGTCATAGCTGCGGGTAGGATAATTCTCAGTCCCCAGGACTAAGGTGACTGGGTCCAGTAAAAGAGGGTTTTATCCACTCCTGTGTCCTCTCCACAGGTGCCCAGTCCCAGGTACAGCTGGTGCAGTCTGGGGCTGAGGTGAAGAAGCCTGGGGCCTCAGTGAAGGTCTCCTGCAAGGCTTCTGGATACACCATCACCAGCTACTGTATGCACTGGGTGCACCAGGTCCATGCACAAGGGCTTGAGTGGATGGGATTGGTGTGCCCTAGTGATGGCAGCACAAGCTATGCACAGAAGTTCCAGGCCAGAGTCACCATAACCAGGGACACATCCATGAGCACAGCCTACATGGAGCTAAGCAGTCTGAGATCTGAGGACACGGCCATGTATTACTGTGTGAGAGACACAATGTGAAAACCCACATCTTGAGAGTTTCAGAAACTGCAGGGAGGAGGCAGCTGTGTTCCTGCAGAGGAGATGACAGGGAAGATGAGGTTTAAAGTTGTTTAGAAAATGGGTCAAGTAACTGAGGACAAGGATCAATAGAAACAAGGACACACTCTAATTTTATGATAAATATTTTATTCAAGAGTCACCGTATACAGAAAATTCAAAGATTAGTAAAGGCCCTGTATTAGTCCATTATCATGCTGCTAATAAAGACGTACCTGAGATGGAATAATTTATAAAGAAAAGTGGTTTAATGGAATCATAATTCCACATGGCTGGGGTGGTCTCATAATCATGGAAGAAGATGAAGAAAGAGTAAACTGATGTCTTACATGGCAGCAGGCAAGAGAGACCTTGTGCCAGGGGAACTCCTGTTTATAAAACTGTCAGATCTCATGAGACATATTCACTACCACGAGAACAGTATGGGGGAAACCGCCCCCATGATTCAATTACATCCACCTGACCCCACCCTTAACACATTGGAATTATTAAAACTCAAGAAGAGATTTGGGTGGGGATACAGTCAAACCATATCAATAAAATCATATCAATGAGTATATTATTGTGAACAAGTTTTCAAATTAGATGGATGAATAATTTGAGCAAGATTATTTGATCACATGGTAAGACTAAGTATGATTCTGAAAAATGTCCAAAATGTCTTCCAAGAATGTCTCTGCTACTGTTGTTGCATAAATTTTATTTTAGAGTGGTTTTAGGATAACAGTGAACTTGAACAGAAAGTACCAGAGCTCCCATGAATCCCCGTCCAACACAGGCACAGCCTTCTCCACTATCTGCATCCTGCACCAGAGTCATATCAGCAAGTTACAAATGATGAACCTACATGGACACTTTGGTTCTTTCTTTTCCTGGTGATCCCGTGGTGTAACAAACATAAATTATCTTGGAGCACCAGAGGTATTTTCAGAGGGTTTCTAGGAATGATATTAGAGGGAAAGTGGGTAAGGTTATTCCTATCCATGCCTCTAAAAGTCCAGCAAGTTCTAGTGAATTCTACAATGAATGTTCTTTAATGAGAAATGGAGACCTTGGCCATGAGAGATGTCATGTATGAGGCCCTGTAGATGGATTACTTACACTGTAGGCTCGTGGGGTGTGTTTACGGATGAATCCCTTTTTGCAGCAAATGCAAGCACATGCGTGGGATCCAGGCAGGGACAAAAGCTCCCCCTTAGGAAGAAGGTGGGCACCTGGAAGGCCCCTCACTGAGGTGGACACTGGTGTCCTGTGCTGGCTGCACGTTGTCAAGAGGCATGAGCCTGATTGGGCTTGTAGAGGGAGAGCCTCATTGGGGTCACAGGTTATAACAATGTCTGCCATTCTCCAGCTGAACAAGCCCATCTGCTTGCTTGCCAGTGTCAATGCCATATTGGGGTGCACTCTGGAAGATGACAAGATGCACACAAACCTCCTCCCACTAATTATCCACTACTAAACATTCAAAAACCACCTGACTTCCAGAAATGGATATGCGCCTGCAGGGATAAACAGAACTTAAGTATTTTCTTATCTGGGAAAGACACTGCCAAATACTACACATTTCAGGAAAATTAGTTTGGAATGTTTAAAAACTGACTGAAGGGCAATAGTAGGTGAGGTGATGGCACAGCCTCAGGGCTGCACATGAGGAGGGCTCCCTCCCCCATGCAGGCTTTTCCTCCAGGAACTGCACCAGGAACTGAGGAAGGATTAGGGAGAATCATGGAAACATCCTTCTGCGGTGCTTGCTAGGGAGAGGAAATAAATTATGAGTAAAATATTCCCTCTGAATAAAGTATGGGCATTTGTTCATACAAATCTGTATTTCTCAAAGCTTGTGGAGGTCCTGACATAGCCACCATTAGCTGAGAACAAACATTTCACCTCTCCTTGCATGGGGAGGTCAAGCAGCCTGGAGGTGTCCCTTTGTGGATGATATTTCCCAGCCCCTTTGTCTTCCCTGCTCATCCCTGGGCCTCTGTGTGACGAGTTCTCATCAGTGGAATGTAGGTGATGTAGTGTGGTCTTCAGTTTTCTCATCTTCTTTGTTCTCATGTTCCTCTCATGGTGTGAGGTTAAGAAACTCATCTGCAACATAGCACATGACAGCGTAATCTCTCTTGTGGACAAAAAATTGGCAAAGGAGACCACCAAGTTGACCATCCCGTATAGCTGACAGTGACAACCACGGGTCAACGTCCCCTCCACAATCCTGTGTCGGAACATCATCTGAATAACTTTATTAGCAACTTTTCTCGAGAATTATCTTAAAAACTACTTGTCTCATTTTCCATGCAGTTATAACCTATTTTTCCTAGAGGACAGAGAGAGCTGAATACTGAATATATTGCATGTCTCCTGCTGTTGAAAGTTTGTGACTTTCTCACTTTCTAATTTCTTATCTGCGCAGACCACTCTACAGATTTTTCACTGTTGTGACCAGCATTCTGAATATCAAGTGTATTTGACGTTCTTCATATATCGTTCAGCACCAGCTTCTCATCATTTCACTCCTCACTGACCACTCTAACTTACACAATGTGTTTCTTTATTTGTTTAATTCTGGCATCGCTCCTTAAATTTCACCAAGCCCATTTTTTGTTATTTCTACAGGTGATTGATTGTTAATTTTAAATTTTACTTGTGCTTACTTTAATCAGGCAATAACCTAAGATAAAAAAAACATTGTAAACAAAAGTAAATGCTGTAATATTTAAGGTAAGTAAGCCAACAGCTGAGGAAAAGGGAAATCCATTATCCTGGGTAAGTGAGTATGGGGAACTCATAGTATGATTATCTTCTTCAGTTTAATTAATACTGCTACGCAAGTTATAGTGTCCTCTCTCTTTATATCAAAACTTTCCCTAACATGTACAATGAAGACTCAGCACAGATACCTTCCACCAGACTAACCTAGAACCTCTCAGCGAGTGCCTGAGCTGATAGTGATAGATATCACATTTGTCTAACAAAAAAACGACACCCTTTAAGGATATCCACCAGCCATATGGGGACAATTTGAATAATTTAGATAAAGCCCAAACTTGATAGGTAGTAATTTATAATGAGAAACTGACTCCTATCTTCACATGGGATGTTTTTAGGTTTTGTTGTTTCTTTTTTTTTCCATAGAGAACCTGCTAACGCCACTGTCCAAGTTCTGGATATCTTATTTCCCAGTATGAGAGACTGCATATTATGGTCTGACACAAAGGAATGTAGCTGTTGTTAGGGATAGGAGATGTGATCGTAAGAACATGAGCAGGGATCCAGCAGTGCTTTGTCTTTTCACAGTTGCCCAGACAGAGACCCAGGAGAACAATGGGAGAATTGACTTCAGTCTCTCCAGTCCCATACGAGTATTATACCAGATGTTTTATGCCACTGTTTCATAGTAGAAAAATTAGTCTCTAAAGAAAGTCCGTTTTGAGGACAATACTATTTTCCAGTATCCTTCAAACGCCCCAAATCAGAGAGCACCACAGTGCCCCGTGGCCAGGAGCTACAAGACCTGGGCCTAGAAAACAAATGACAGAAATATCAGTTTATCTTTCCGCATCTGTCATAAAAATTTGAAGACTGTTTCCTTCCATCTGGATAATCATAGGTTGTGATAGACTGGAGCTGCTGGTCTATAAAAATAAACTGGTCTGCAGTGGGTACAGAATTACACCCATAATATAATTGTTCTCCTGAGGTCCTTATGCTGTTAGACCAGCTGACCAAGAAAGTGTTTTAAGAGCTGCAGTGCTTACTGGATCCTGTCATATTTGGGGCTACATTTGCAGCTACCAAGAGAAACAGAAAGAAGTCCATTTGGCCCAGGTAGAGTCAATTAATTTGTTTTATTTTATTCCAATGAGGTAAAAAATGCATCAACCAAAATGCAGATGATGATCAAGTGATCAAGGACAACAGCCACTCAGTGTTTCAGGTGTGTTTTAGCCCAAAAGCCACACAACATGTGAGAACCTGAACTCTGGAGTCCTGGCCATCTCTGAGGAGAATCTAGATGGTGGAAGGGAAGACACAATCATTAACATCTAGGGAAATTTCAGGGTTACCTGCTGTAGTGGAAAGCAAACCTTGAGCCTCTGAGACAGTGTGACGTCCATGGAGACTGAGACAGCTACTGTCTCAAGCCCCTGGTCATGGAATAGTCTCAATGTTTGTCTGTGTGTCACTATAGAACATTGTGTGTAAGTGGGATGATGCATACAACTGTGTCTGTGTGTTTGTGAATGTGTGTGTTTGTGTGAGGGTGTGAGCTTGTGTGTGCCTGTGTTTTATATTAAAATGAGTTACTTACTTTGTGATTGTTACACTATATCTTCGACCAAGTGTGTGGGAGAACGTGTTTGTGTGTTTCTGTGAGTTAGTTTGTAAAAGCGTATGCTATTTTGAGTGTGTGTGAGTGCGTTCTTCAATATTTGAGCCTATCAATTTGCATGAATGTTAATTTTCCTTAGTACGTGTGAGTTGCATACTTGACTAGGTGAATACAAAGTATCTGAGATAGGTGTCAGGCAATTTAAGAAGTTTGTTTTGCCAAAGTTAAAGACACACACCTATGACACAGCCTCGGGAGGTTCTGATGACATGAGCCCAAGGTGGTCAGGACACAGCTTGGTTTTATACGTTTTAGGAAGACATGAGACATCAAACAATATGTGTAAGATGTACATTGGTTGGCCTGGTGCAGTGGCTCATGCCTGTAATCCCAGCACTTTGGGAGGCCAAGGTGGGCAGATCATTTGATGTCAGGAATTCGACACCAGCCTGGTCAACATGGTGAAACCCCATCTCTACTGAAAATCCAGAAATTTGCTGGGTGTGGTGATGCACGCCTGCAGTCCCAGCTACTTGGGAGGCTGAGGCAGGAGAATTGCTTGAACCTGGGAGGTGGAGATTGCAGTGAGCCGAGATTGTGCCACTGCACTCCAGACTGGGTGACAGAGCAAGACTCTGTCTTAAGAAAAAAAATACATTGATTCATTCCAGAAAGATGTGAAAACTCGAAGGGGGTTTCCATATGTAGGTGAGAGACAAAGGGTTGCATTCTTTTGAGTTTCTGATTAGCTTTTCCAAAAGACTCAATCAGATATGCTTTTATCTCTGTGAGCAGATGGATGACTTTGAATAGAGTAGTAGACAAGTTTGCCCTAGTAGTTTCTAACTTGACTTTTCTCTTCAGCGGTGTGATCTTAGGGTCCCAAGATTTACTTTCCTTTCAGAAGTGAATATAGTTGATTTGACGCTAGTGTGACCAGGAATATTTGAGTGTGTGTGTGCTCTTTGTATTACTTGGTGAGTGTGTGCCCCTGAGTGTGTGGGGGGGTCATTACCTGTGACTCTACATATGAAGGTGTTGAGAGTGTGTGTGAGTCTGTGAGCATGTTTATATACATGTGGATTGTTAGTATGCATGCTTTTAGAGACTTTTTTTTTGAGTTGGAGTTTCACTCTTGTTACCCAGGCTGGAGTGCAGTGGCATGATCTCGGGTCACCACAACCTCTGCCTCTCTGGTTCAAGCGATTCTCCCACCTCAGGCTCCTGAGTAGCTGGGATTACAGGCATGTGCCACCATGCCTAGCTAATTTTTGTACTTTTTTTAGAGATGGGGTTTCACCATGCTGGCCAGAATGGTCTCTCTTGACCTCAGGTGATCCTCCCACCTTGGCCTACCAAAGTGCTAGGATTACAGGCATGAGCCACCGTGCCCAGGCTCTTTTGTTTATTTATTTATTTTTAAATGGAGTCTTGCTCTGCTCGCCAGGCTGGAGTGCAGTGGCGTGATCTCAGCTCACTGCAACCTCTGCCTCCAGGGTTCAAGCGATTCTCCTGCCTCAGCCTCCTGAGTATTTGGGACTACTGGTGTGTGCCACCATGCCCAGCTAATTTTTGTATTTTTAGTAGAGATGGGATTTCACCATGTTGGCCAGGATGGTCTTGATCTCTTGACCTCGTAATCTGCCCGCCTTGGCCTCCCAGAGTGCTGGGATTACAGGCATGAGCCACCCCACCTCGCCAGAGATTCATCTCTTGACCTCAGTGTCACATGTCTGAAAATATCAAGTATGTTTGAGTGTCAGAACCTGAGAAAGAAGCGTTGCCTATAATAAAACCTTCATAAAATAAACAACTGATTTCTCACCAAATTCATGAAGGCAAAAACTCATTGAGGTGGCGTATCAAAAGACTGAAATACACTGTCAATCAAGAATTATACACTTTCAAAGAAACCTTCAAAAGTGAAGGAGAAATTAAGGTGAATATAAAGAAACAAACGCTGATGGAGTTCATGGAACCTAGACAGTCCTTATGAGAAATGCTATATGGAGTCCCACAGACTGAACTGAAAGGAGAGTGGAGAGGAGCAGAAAATCTTACACCTAAAAAGAACAACAGCAACAAGGAAGGTGTCCCAGAAATGTCATTACATTTGTGTATGTGAGCGCCAATAGTGTTTTATTCTGCCCTGAGTCTCATGTTTCATTCCTCCATTATTTTGAAAATCAAGTACCATAATATTAATTATACATGTAAATAATATACATATAATTTGTAAAATACTAATATATAGTAATAACACAGTAAGGGAAGATGGATAGAGCTGTAGAGACACAGATTTGTATGCACTATCGATGCTAAGGTAATCATAATTCAATCTATTTTGTTATAAATTTGAATTACCAATTTTAGTGTCCATGTTAGCTATAAATATGTAACTAAAATTTAAAAAAAAAATCAGCATGACAGCTGAATAGATGTGCCTGACATTCGTCAATCCCATATGACGGAATGACAGAATTGAATAAACAGCTAAGACTAGACTGGACTGATGAAAGGGAGAAGTAGAGGATAGCAGGGGAGAGGAGAGGTCCCTGTGGTTATTAGAAGCCCAATAGTGCTTCTAATAGTGAAAGCACCCTGTGTCTGCAGCTTCATACTCGAGATTCACATGGGATTATCCCTGGTGAGGAAAGTTAAGTAGAAGAAGCACATCAGACCCCACTGCAATCACACATGTCAACAATCCTTACTGTAAAATAAATTCACAGGGCTTGCAAACCCTGAGCTCAACTTGGAGAGCTGGAAGGAATTCATGCATCTGTACTGCACAAGATTAGGAGCAAAATCTGTATTCCTTGCCCACCACCCATCCCATTAGCCAAAATGCTATAGCCTGTCACAACTTTGAGACCAGAGACACTTCTGGAGGGTGCCCTTCTTTGGGGCAGTAGTCATTGCATGTCTCCACACTGGGCCTCTGTTTCCATTCCATCAAACACACAAGTGGGTAAAGGCCAAAATACTAGCTGCACAAAGCCTAGAGCCAAGATCCCCTTTGGCTCTGGTGTTGCCCAGCAGGAAACCAACCCCTGAACAGGGCAATAACAAGTCACAAAATTGAAGCATTAATAAAAGGTCTTCCAGGAAAGAAAAAAAACCCAGGACTCAATGGCTTCATTGCGCAATTGTGACAAATATTTAAAGAAGAAACAATATCTATCCTCCTCAAAATATTAAAAAATAGGTAGAGAAGGAGGGAGTACTTTCAAACCTGCTCTATGAGACCAGTATTACCCTGAAATGAAAACCAAATAAAAACATAAAAAACACTACAAGCCAATGTCTCTGATGAATACAGAAGCGAAAATCCTCAAGGAAAACTTAGCAAACACCATTCAACAACACATTAAAAAAATCATGCATCATGACCAAGTACAGTTTATCCCAGTGATTCAAGGATGGTCCAACATATGGAAATCAATCAATGTGACACATCACATCAACAGAAAGGACAAAGGCCATAAGATCAGGCCTCACCTTGTCCTCCTCATTCAAAGTCTACCATCAGAGCTTTGGTCCTCTTGGCCAGTCCTGCTGTACTTGGTCTCCTGTGATTCCTCTCCCAGATCCTGAAACCTTGGGCTTCTGTGCACCTGCAGTCTCTCACCTCCTTGGACATGGAGATCCTGTATTCTCAGAGACAGATGATACCTCATTGTGTCTCCTATGGCCCATGCAAATGATTTCCCCAACACAGTCATGAGTTTTCCTGTATGAAATTGAAAGGGGATGTGGGGAACTGGTGTGCGTGTGTGTGTGTGTGTGTGTGTTCACAGTGGTACAAAAGGAGTCCTCAGGCATGCTAAGGTGTTGTGAACTAGGGTGATGTTGTCACTCAAGGCTACAATGGGGGCTCCATGAAGAGAAATCTAGAAAAGGATAAGCATATGAGCAAAGAAGCAAAACCTGGGGAGTAGCAGGGAGGGGACCAGGAGCGGTGACTCAACCGGACAGGGAAAACACCACGTACAAGAGAGGGTGAGAATTCTGTGCTCAGCAAAGAGGAGAACTCACTCAACATTTCCCTCAATTTTCCCTCAAGAAATTTCCTGTGCCAGGAAAGTTCACAATGGAGAATCTCCAGCTCCAGGTGGGACCCCAAAAGAGGCAGGGGGACTTTAGGCCATAGGTCTTGTGCACAAGGTTTTTCCCCAGTTCCTACCCCTTTCCTTTCCTCTCTGTCCAGCAAACCTGCTTGTTTCTGTCACCTGCCTTCCTGTCCTTGGGGTAAGAATGGATGCCTTGACACTCAGCAGAGGGATGCTCTTTCAGAGGAGGAATTAGTTTGTGTCATCTGACTCCTGAGCAGGAAAATCATGCCTGGGAAGAGGTTCCAAGACAGAGGTCCGCCGTAGTTCCTGCCCCTTATATGTGCGGGGCTCCTGGCACATGCACACTTCTCCTCAAACTCTGTTTACACCCCAGCAACAATGCTGGGTGTTGTCAGCCCCTCTCCTCCCCAGATACCGCTCTGTCATCAGCCAAGGAACAAATTCCCCATGAAAGACATTATTCTTTCTCTCAAGAAGATCAACTACTTATATTTCTTCCTTTGCTGACAGCTTTGCAGGGTGAACATCTAGAATTTAAAAAAGGGTTGATGTGGACAAGTGAGCTCTCTGTGTGACTCACCAGGATGTTCCCTCTTATTCCAGGTGTCCTGTCCCATGTGTAGGTGCAGGAGTCAGGTCCAGGACCCATGAGGCCCTCAGACACTGCCCTCCACATGTGCTGTGTCTGGATTCTTTTTTACCATGGATACTATTTGAGCTGAATCCACCATCCCCTGGGCAACAGGCTGGAATGGCTGGGGCACAGTTACTAGAGTCGATCACCAAGGAATACACATCATGCTCCCTCCACCCAGGTCCATGTCCCCATCAACAATGACTCAACCAAGAGCCAGTTCTCTGTGAAGCTCAGCTCCATGGCTGCCCAGGACACAGCTGAGTATTACTGTGAAAGACTTAATGAGAAGGTGTCCTTGTGAGCCCTGACACAAAACTTGCTGGCAGGGCACTCAGGACTGCCAGGAAGACTCAGGACCACAGAGGGGACTCAAGACCACCAGGGAAGAGCAGGTTGCAGGAAGCACAGGGCCAGCCCCAGAGCAGTTGGGGGTAGAGATGAGAGGTTGGTTTACTGCCAGGTTCTGGGGTTGCCTCACCATCTTCATGTTTCCTCCAGGGACCCTCTCTTATTTCATGGTGCTGTGTCTAGCTCTACATCTCTAAAATACCACAGTTTTGTTGTACCAGGAGGAAACCTTCTCACAGGCCCTAAATGTAGAGCAATCTCTCTGCCAGTGGTCACTAGGATCACAGCCCTGAGGAAGCTGAGGGTAACCTGGTGAATCTTCTTCAGTCACATTCGGGACAGGAACCTTAGCGGGGTTCCCTGAGGAGAACAGTCTCAGGAATCCTAACCTCAGCCAAGACAGAGGCTGGGCCAGATCAATGTCAGATAGAACCTCACAAGTTTTATGTCTGACCCTTCTCCACCAACAATAAAGCATGCCAATCAGTATCAGCGCCGATCTGGGGCCCTTTTACTCCTAGCACATTCTGTTTCTCTTTATTTGTTGTTGTTATTCTTGCTTTTCCTTGTACTGCTGCTGCTCCCTGTAAAGTGGGGATGTGGTTCTTGCTGCCAAAGCTCCAGGGCTCAAGCCCATTCCTTGCAGCTCAGGTGGGGCTCAGGCTGTGGCTCCTGCAGCCACACGGGAGAGGCTGATGGGACTTTCTTCTCTCTCATTGCACGAGACCATCCAGTGTGTTGTGTGGAGACTCACCTGGGAAAGGAAGTGGCCAATAGTAGTGAAGGGGATGAGCTTGTGTGGACAAAATGGGATGTGGATATGAAATTTGTCCTGTGCTGTGCAAGCTACCACAAAGTCACCTTCCTCACCAGTGGCGTTATAAATAGTGTGTGAAAGTTGTCAGAATCAAAATGGAGCCACTTGTGTTAAAACCCTGACAAATGGAACTAGGAATGACCATGAAGGAGGGTTCGCATGCACATACTCCTGATAAGAAGAACTACCATAAATTGACTCTGCTTAATCACAACCTTGGATAGAAGCCACCAACACCATATAAAACTTCCTTCTACAAAGATATGTGTCCAGCGACTGCCTGTTCAGCCTTATACTGATGCCACCCTTGGTATTGATTCTACAAGCACAGGATAATTCTTTCAAAACAGCTTATGTAACCCACCTCATTTTCACTTCATAAACCTATGGATTGACATCCTGTAGTCACTGCTGCATTTCTTATTAATGTTAATAAGCCCCCTTTACAATATTCGAAGCAATTTTTCTCTGATATCTCTTCTAAAATAAAGAATTTCCAAGTTGACGCCAATAAAGAAGATACTTAGGAAGATCTATTTGGCATATTTGGAAGGCATATTTTTATTTATTTATTTACTTTTGAGATGGAGATTCACTCTTGTTGCCCAGGCTGGAGTGCAATGGCGGGATCTCAGCTCACTGCAACCTCTGCCTCCCTAGTTCAAGTGATTCTCCTGCCTCAGACTCCCGAGTAGCTGGGATTACAGGCATGCACCAACACGCCCGGCTAATTTTTTATTTTTAGTAGAGAGGAGATTTCTCCATGTGGGTCAGGCTGGTCTCGAACTCCTGACATCAGGTGATCCCCCCCGCCTCAGCCTCCCAGAGTGCTGGGTTTACAGGCATGAGTTGATGCGCCTGGCCAGGAAGCCATCTTTAACATCCTGTTGAATGATTCTGCATAGCACATCAATCCCTTAAAATACTTTGCTGTATCGGCTTGCGATTAATCAGTATATAAAACTGAAGGTAAAATGGGAAATACATGGGCTTTTGATGAACCAAGCCATAGGGTGATAATGTCTGTGTCCTTGAGGAAGCAGACTAAGGGTTGTAAGTTCTGGTGGGAGTACCTTTGGCAAAGGGAGTTCCTGAGTTTCTGGATATTATGCTACTTTTAACTTAAAGATGCAATTTATGATTTATTTTTACTTAAATCTTTCCAGAAGATATTTGGCAGTAAGGACAGGATAGCGTTTGTGTGATACTGATGACTTAGAGAGTTATTTTGTAATTGTTCCTGTAAGGTATGCACATTGCTCACTTGATGAAGTACAAATGTCACAGGTGGGAAAATCAGATTAAGCAGATTTTATCAAATGTCATGGCTGTAATTTTTGGCAAGAAAATGCTTCACATCAACCAGAAAATAAACAGAAAACAAGAAAACATATTCAAATCCAGTGGGAGTCTGACCTCTGTCCTTCTCTGTTATAAGTACAAGGTTGTTCCACATCCAAATTATTCTTCAGGCTCCAGGGAATGAAATGCTTTTGGACTGTGAAAGCTAATAGCTCTCCCCTCAGGCAGGGCTAAGTTATCTGGGGAATGCAGAGTTGTGTTCATGAGGAAGATGGCACTATTGTGTCTTCTTCTGCATTGCCCCATCACACGGGTGAGGAATTTTTGAAACCAGTGAAGTGTGAGTGCACAGTAAGTGATGAAGTTATCATATATCCATGAACTTTCATTAATAGGCCAAGGCCTTCTACAGATCACTCATGCACAAATATCCAAAATGTGTTTTTCCATTTTTTGATGCCTAGAGAAAAATATCTGTTGAGGAAACTTCTTCAGCTTACAGAGATCTGCTTAAGTTTGAGATCCCATAGGAGAGTGTCTTTGAGTGAATTCCAGTCTATTAATTAAATAGGTCCAAATTCTCTCTGTTGGAGTAGCCTTCCAATTGTGCTGATTTCTTTTTTTTTTTATTATACTTTAAGTTTTAGGGTACATGTGCATAACGTGCAGGTTTGTTACATATGCATACATGTGCCATGTTGGGTGTTGCACCCATTAACTCATCATTTACATTAGGTATATCTCCTAATGCTATCCCTCCCCACTCCCCTCACCCCACAACAGGCCCCAGTGTGTGATGTTCCCCTTCCTGTGTCCATGTGTTCTCATTGTTCAATTCCCACCTATGAGTGAGAACATGCAGTGTTTGGTTTTTTGTTCTGGTGATAGTTTGCTGAGAATGATGGTTCGCAGCTTCATCCATGTCCCTACAAAGGACATGAACTCATCCTTTTTTATGGCTGCATAGTATTCCATGGTGTATATGTGCCACATTTTCTTAATCCAGTCTAGCATTGTTGGACATTTGGGTTGGTTCCAAGTCTTTGCTATAGTGAATAGTGCCACAATAAACATACATGTGCATGTGTCTTTATAGCAGCAAGATTTAAAATCCTTTGGGTATATACACAGTAATGAGATGGCTAGGTCAAATGGTATTTCTAGTTCTAGATCCCTAAGGAATTGCCACACTGACTTCCACAATGGTTGAACTAGTTTACAGTCCCAAAAACAGTGTGAAAGTATTCCTATTTCTCCACATCCTCTCCAGCACCTGTTGTTTCCTGACTTTTTAATGATCGCCATTCTAACTGGTGTGAGATGGTATCTCATCGTGGTTTTGATTTGCATTTCTCTGATGGCCAGTGAAGATGAACATTTTTTTATGTGTCTTTTGGCTGCATAAATGTTTTCTTTTGAGAAGTGTCTGTTCATATCCTTCACCCACTTGTTGATGGGGTTGTTTGTTTTTTTCTTGTAAATTTGTTTGGGTTCTCTGTAGATTCTGGATATTAGCCCTTTGTCAGATGAGTAGATTGCAAACATTTTCTCCCATTCTGTAGGTTGCCTGTTTACTCTGATGGTAGTTTCTTTTGCTGTGCAGAAGCTCTTTAGTTTAATTAGATCCCATTTGTCAATTTTGGCTTTTGTTGCCATTGCTTTTGCTGTTTTCGACATGAAGTCCTTGCCCAAGCCTATGTCCTGAATGGTATTGCCTAGGTTTTCTTCTAGGGTTTTTATGGTTTTAGATCTAACATTTAAGTCTTTGATCCATCTTAATTTAATTTTTATAAGTTGTAAGGAAGGGATCCAGTTTCAGCTTTCTACATATGGCTAGCCAGTTTTCCCAGCACCGTTTATTAAATAGGGAATCCTTTCCCCATATTTTGTTTTGGTCAGGTTTGCCAAAGATCAGATAGTTGTAGATATGTGGCATTATTTCTGAGGGCTCTGTTCTGTTCCATTGGTCTATATCTCTGTTTAGGTACCAGTACCATACTGTTTTGGTTGCTGTAGCCTTGTAGTATAGTTTGAAGTCAGGTAGTGTGATGGCTCCAGTTTTGTTCTTTTGGCTTAGGATTGACTTGGCAATGCGGGCTCCTTTTTGATTCCATATGAACTTTAAAGTAGTTTTTTTCCAATTCTGTGAAGAAAGTCATTGGTAGCTTGATGGGGATGACATTGAATCTATAAATTACCTTGGGCAGTATGGCCATTTTCATGATATTGATTCTTCCTACCCATGAGCATGGAATGTTCTTCCATTTGTTTATATCTTCTTTTGTTTCATTGAGCAGTGGTTTGTAGTTCTCCTTGAATAGGTCCTTCACCTCCCTTGTAAGTTGGATTCCTAGGTATTTTATTCTCTTTGAAGCAATTGTGAATGGGAGTTCACTCATGATTTGGCTCTGTCTGTTATTGGTGTATAAGAATGCTTGTGATTTCTGCACATTGATTTTGTATCCTGAGACTTTGCTGAAGTTGCTTATCAGCTTAAGGAAATTTTGGGCTGAGATGATGGGGTTTTCTAGATATACAATCATGTCATCTGCAAACAGGGACAATTTGACTTCCTCTTTTCTTCATTGAATACCCTTTATTTCCTTCTCCTGTCTGATTGCTCTGGCCAAAACTTGCAACACTATGTTGAATAGGAGTGATGAGAAAGGGCATCCCTGTCTTGTGCCAGTTTTCAAAGGGAATGCTTCCAGTTTTTGCCCATTCAGTATGATATTGGCTGTGGGTTTGTCATAGATAGCTCTTATTATTTTGAGATACGTCCCATCAATACCTAAATTATTGAGAGTTTTTAGCATGAAGGGTTGTTGAATTTTGTCAAAGGCCTTTTCTTCATCTACTGAGATAATCATGTGGTTTTTGTCATTGGTTCTATTTATATGCTGGATTACATTTATTGATTTGTGTATGTTGAACCAGACTTGCATCCCAGGAATGAAGCCCACTTGATCACGGTGGATAAGTTTTTGATGTGCTGCTGGATTCAGTTTGCCAGTATTATACTGAGGATTTTTGCAATGATGTTCATCAGGGATATTGGTCTAAAATTCTCTTTTTTTGTTGTGTCTCTGCCAGGCTTTGGTATCAGAATGATGCTGGCCTCGTAAAATGAGTTAGGGAGCATTCCCTTTTTTTCTATAGATTGGAATAGTTTCAGAAGGAATGGTACCAGCTCCTCCTTGTACCTCTGGTAAAATTCAGCTGTGAATCTGTCTGGTCCTGGACATTTTTTAATTCGTAGGCTATTAATTATTGCCTCAATTTCAGAGCCTATTATTGGTCTATTCAAGGACTCAACTTCTTCCTGGTTTAGTCTTGGGAGGGTGTATGTGTCGAGGAATTTATCCATTTCTTCTAGATTTTCTAGTTTATTTGCGTAGAGGTGTTTATAGTATTCTGTGATGGCAGTTTGTATGTCTGTGGGATCGGTGGTGATATCTCCTTTATCATTTTTTATTGTGTCTATTTGATTCTTCTCTCTTTTCTTCTTTATTAGTCTGGTTAGTGGTCTATCAATTTTGTTGATCTTTTCGAAAAACCATCTCCTGGATTCATTGATTTTTTGAAGGGCTTTTTGTGTGTCTATCTCCTTCAGTTCTGATCTGATCTTAGTTATTTCTTGCCTTCTGCTAGCTTTTGAATGTATTTGCTCTTGCTTCTCTAGTTCTTTTAATTGTGATGTTAGGGTGTCAATTTTAGATCTTTCCTGCTTTCTCTTGTGGGCATTTAGTGCTATAAATTTCCCTCTACACACTGCTTTAAATGTGTCCCAGAGATTCTGGTATGTTGTGTCTTTGTTCTCGTTGGTTTCAAAGAACATCTTTATTTCTACCTTCATTTCATTATGTACCCAGTAGTCATTCAGGAGCAGTTTGTTCAGTTTCCATGTAGTTGAACGGTTTGAGTGAGTTTCTTAATCCTGAGTTCTAGTTTGATTGCACTGTGGTCTGAGAGACAGTTTGTTATAATTTCTGTTCTTTTACATTTGCTGAGGAGTGCTTTACTTCCAACTATGTGGTCAGTTTTGGAGTAAGTGCGGTGTGGTGCTGAAAGAATGTATATTCTGTTGATTTGGCATAGAGAGTTCTGTAGATGTCTATTATGTCTGCTTGGTGCAGAGCTGAGTTCAATTCCTGGATATCCTTGTTAACTTTCTGTCTCGTTGATCTGTCTAATGTTGACAGTGGGGTGTTAAAGTCTCCCACTATTATTGTGTGGGAGTCTAAGTCTCTTTGTAGGTCTCTAAGGACTTGCTTTATGAATCTGGGTTCTCCTGTATTTGGTGCATATATATTTAGGATAGTTAACTCTTCTTGTTGAATTGATCCCTTTACCATTCTGTAATGGCCTTCTTTGTCTCTTCTGATCTTTGTTGGTTTAAAGTCTGTTTTATCGGAGACTAGGATTGCAACCCCTACCTTTTTTTGTTTTCCATTTGCTTGGTAGATCTTCCCCCATCCCTTTATTTTGAGCCTGTGTGTGTCTCTGCACATGAGATGGGTTTCCTGAATACAGCACACTGAAGGGTCTTGACTCTTTATCCAACTTGCCAGTCTGTGTCTTTAATTGGTGCACTGAGCCCATTTTCATTTAAGGTTAATATTGTTATGTGTGAATTTGATCCCGTCATTGTGATGTTAGCTGGTTATTTGGCTCGTTAGTTGATGCAGTTTCTTCCTAGCTTTGGTGGTCTTTACAATTTGGCATGTTTTTGCAGTGGCTGTTACCGGTTGTTCCTTTCCATGTTTAGTGCTTCCTTCAGGAGCTCTTTTAGGGCAGGCCTGGTGGTGACAAAATCTCTCATCATTTGCTTGTCTGTAAAGGATTGTATTTCTCCCTCACTTATGGAGCTTAGTTTGGCTGGATATGAAATTCTGGGTTGAAATTATTTTCTTTAAGAATGTTGAATATTGGCCCCCACTCTCTTCTGGCTTGTAGAGTTTCTGCCGAGAGATCCACTGTTAGTCCGATGGGCTTCCCTTTGTGGGTAACCCAACCTTTCTCTCTGGCTTCCCTTAACATTTTTTTCCTTCATTTCAACTTTGGTGAATCTGACAATTATGTGTCTTGGAGTTGCTGTTCTTGAGGAGTATCTTTGTGACATTCTCTGTATTTCCTGAATTTGAATGTTGGTCTGCCTTTCTAGATTGGGGAAGTTCTGGATAATAGCCTGCAGAGTGTTTTGCAACTTGGTTCCATTCTCCCCGTCACTTTCAGGTACACCAATCAGACATAGATTTGGTCTTTTCACATAGTCCCATATTTCTTGAAGGCTTTGTTCTTTTTATTCCTTTTTCTCTAAACTTCTTTTCTCACTTCATTTCATTCATTTGACCTTCCATCACTGATAACCTTTCTTCCAGTTGATTGAATCAGCTACTGAAGCTCATGCATTCATCACACAGTTCTTGTGTCATGATTTTTAGCTCCTTCAGATCCTTTAAGGACTTCTCTGCATTGGTTATTCTAGTTAGTCATTCGTCTAATCTTTTTTCAAGGTTTTTAACTTGTTTGCCATGGGTTTGAGCTTCCTCCTTTAGCTTGGAGAAGTTTGATAGTCTGAAGCCTTCTTCTCTCAACTCATCAAAGTCATTCTCCATCCAGCTTTTTTCCATTGCTGGTGAGGAGCTGCATTCCTTTGGAGAAGGAGAGGCACTCTGATTTTTAGAATTTTCAGTTTTTCTGCTCTGTTTTTTCTCCGTCTTTGTGGATTTATCTACCTTTGGTCTTTGATGAAGGTGATGTACAGATGGGGTTTTGGTGTGGATGTCCTTTCTGTTTGTTAGTTTTCCTTCTAACAGTCAGGACCCTCAGTTGCAGGTCTGTTGGAGTTTGCTGGAGGTCCACTCCAGACCCTGTTTGCCTGGGTATCAGCAGTGGAGGCTGCAGAACAGTGAATATTGGTGAACAGCAAATGTTGCTGCCTGATCTTTCCTCTGGATGTTTCATCTCAGAGGAGTACCCGGCCATGTGAGATGTCAGTCTGCCGCTACTGGGGAGTGCCTCCCAGTTAGGCTACCTGGGGGTCAGGGACCCACTTGAGGAGGCAGTCTGTCCATTCTCAGATCTCAAGCTGCATGCTGGGAGAACCACTACTGTCTTCAAAGCTGTCAAACAGGGACAATTTAAGTCTGCAGAGGTTTCTGCTGCCTTTTATTTGGCTATGCCCTGCCCCCAGAGGTGAAGTCTACAGAGGCAGGCAGGCCTCCTTGAGCTGTGGTGGGCTCCACCCAGTTCGAGCTTCCTGGCCACTTTGTTTATTTACTCAAGCCTTGGTAATGGCAGGCCCCCCTTCCCCAGCCTCGCTGTTGCCTTGCAGTTTGATCTCAGAGTGCTGTGCTAGCAATGAGCAAGGCTCTGTGGGCGTGGGACCCTCCAAGATATGCACGGGATATAATCTCCTGGTGTGCTGTTTGCTAAGACCATCAGAAAAGCACAGTATTAGTGTGGGAGTGACCCGATTTTCCAGGTGCCATCTGTCACCCCTTTCCTTGGCTAGGAAAGGGAATTCCCTGACCCCTTGCACTTCCTGGGTGAGGCGATTCTTCGCCCTGCTTTGGCTCATGCTCGGTGCGCTGCACCCACTGTCCTGCACGCACTGTCCGACAGTCCCCGGTGAGATGAACCTGGTACCTCAGTTGGAAATGCAGAAATCATTCATCTTCTGTGTCGCTCACACTGTGAGCTGTAGACTGGAGTTGTTCCTATTCGGCCATTTTGGAACCACCCCTGAGTTTTGGTTTCTTGATAGAACCTGGACAGGTGGGCTGAGGTGCTGTGGGACATAAATGGGGAAGAGCTGGACCCAATATCCAGAATCAAGTAAGCTTTTACTCACCATGTGGTTTTGTTTCTGAGTTTATGGTTTGACCAGATGCAGAAGAGTTTGTCCGGGACTTCTGAGGGGTGAAGAACTTGAAGGGAGAATAATATAACTTATTAGTCAAATAAATGAAAATATCATAATTGTGGATATGTTCTTGTGAGTGGGGGTAGCTCAGCAGTGTGTGTTCATCCCCAGAAAAGAGAAAATCTTGTCTGCTGTGGAAAGAAGACATAGTTTTTAACATATGTGGTTACTATTAACGACAACTGAGCCTGGGTACTGGATCATGTTATAATGCTAAAGGGAAGATTCAATAGAAGAAAGAATGTCATAGCAAAAACAAAAAAATTAAGCATCAAAGATTTAAATGAAATGACTTTGAATATTACTAGTAATGAACATGCCAAGAAAAATCAATTACTATAACCAGAAGAATAATTCATGACTGCCCATGGGATTCATGCTGAGAAGATATACAATTTCCATTTAATTTCCATTTACTGAAAATTAAATTAAATTTAGTGAGGGCTCATCACTACCCTCATAAAATGGTTCAGAGAGTAAGCGAAGAATATAGTGTGAGCTTACAGCAAGTGGAGACCATCTCTTCTCCTCCAATGTCCCACAGCTCCACAGCCCACCTGTCCAGGTTCTATCAAGAAATTTTAGCTCCTGCCCAGTAAAGGAAACAGTTGAGTGAGGAGAGAACCTGCAGATGATAGACAATATTTGAAAACTGTTCATTTGACAAGGGATTACTATAAAGCATATAAAATTAACTGAACTGCAATTAATAATCTGAATAATAATGGGCAAATAACATGAATGAACATCTGTCCAAGGAAGACGTGGAAAGGATCAATAGATAGATAGATGATAAGTATATATGCACACATATATTGCTAGACAGCACTAATATTCAGGAACATGCAAATTCACAATGAGATATCTTTTCATCCTTCATCTTTGCTGGAAATTCTGTTAACAGAAAGCCAAAATAAGGAAAACAAAAGCTAGCAAGGCTGCATAGAAGGGGACACTCTTATTGACCACTGGTGGAAATGTAAATTAGTATAGCCATCATGGGAAAAAAATAGAACTGCCATATAATTCAGCGATCCAACTGCTGAGTATTTATCTATTTAAATAATTAAAAGAAAAAACTAAAATTGAAGAGATACCTGTACACCCATGTTTACTGCAGCACTAATTGAAATAGCTAAGCTATGAAATCAACATATGTGTCCATGAACAGATGAATGGATAAATAAAATGAGGTAAATTTACACAATGAAATATTATTCAGCCTTAAAAATGAAATTCTGCCATTTGAAGCAACATGGTTGGAACTGGACACCCTTATGGTGAATGAAAGAAGACAGACTAGAAAAATAAATACCACATTTTCTCAATTTAATGTGGAAGTTTAAGAAAGTTGATCTTCTAGAAGTAAATAGTAGAGTAGTGGTTATGAGATGCTCCAAATGGGAGGAGACTGAGAGACAAGAAGAGGCTTGTTAACAAATGCACAATTACAGGTAGACGGGAGGGATATGCTCTAGTGTTCTACAGCGCAGTAGGATGACTACAGCTAACAATATATTGTACGTTTACAAGTAGCCAGAAGAGAGCATTTTGTATGCTACCAACACAAATAAATGTTAATGTCTGAGCTGATGAATTTTCTCATTGTTCTGATTTGGTCAAACCACATGGCAGAGATGTATTGAAATATCACACTGTATCCCATAAATATAAACAATCATTATCTGCCAACCTAAAAAATCCTTTAATTAAAAAGGATTGTATTGCCATACATTACAAGTGATTCAACACAGAGCCTGAAAAAAATACCATTTTTATTTGAAATAGTGAAATTCCTAACAACATAGTTACACTCATTTGCACCAAGCTGTGTATTTGATCATGGTAAGCATAGACAGACTTATGCATAGAATAATATATTTTAATTATAGACTTCTACTTAATACTATAAATGCCAATACATTTAAAACAACTAAGCAAAAGGAATAAAGTTGATGAAATGTGTGTGGTGTGTGATGTGAGCAATTTTTCTTTAACCACGCTGTCCATGTTGGATGTGTGGTGTGTGTCTGTATCTGTGTTTACTCTGCTTGGGGTTCTCTGTGATTCTGGGATCTGTAGTTCAGTGTCTTTCACAAAATTGGGAACATTCTCAACCATTATTTTTTCAAATACTTTCTCTGTATCTATAATTTCTACTTTTCAGAATTAAAGTATACATTTACTACACTTTTGATATTGTTTAGTTTCTTCACTCTTTTCCTTTGCAATTTACTTGTTAAATTTCTAGTGACATTTTAAGTGCATGGTTTCATTTAAAAGCTGAGCCAGCTCTAATGAGCAGTGTGCCCAAAGATTGCTCAATGTTCATACTGCATTGCTTTTGATTTCTCATGCATTTCCATTTGATTACTTCTTAGTATTTTCATCTCTCAGTCCCCTATCTAGTCCTGCATTATGTCCACAGTTTCTTCAAGAGATTTTTACATATGAATTATAGTTACATTATATATCTTATTTAATTAGTTATAATACCTGTATCTTTTATAAATCCCTTTCTGATTATTTCTTTATTGTGACTTTGGTATTTCTCATTAATATATGTAATAATCGTTGTTGATAACCAGACATGTTGGGTTTGACAGTTGATACTGGCTTATTTCATTTTATCCATTTTCTGCCTGTATTTGACCACACTTTATCTTTGCCAGGCAATTATTGTGGAAATGTCCGTGAATCTTCTCACAGCTACATTTGACATTTACTTTTGCAGTGGACATCAGAGTTGAAGTCTGTTCTGTGTCCACCAGAGACTTCAGATGCTCCAGTGATACCTCGTTTTTCTTTCCTGCTTGGCTTTGTCTCATCACCTGTTCCCTCCTCCAGAGAATCTCTTTCAGCTCCTTCAGGTGGGTTAAAATGTTATATTTAACTGACAATAGTGAAATTGGTTGAAGGCAATAGAATAAAGGGAGATTTTGCGACTTTTCCTGGGTCCATATTGTGATCCTGAGTCTGGGTGTGAGCTTTCCAGTGTTTCTGAACTTCCTCCAGATGAGATGTTGGTCTGCGTGTTCTTGCTCTTTTCCTGGGTAGAGTCCTCTTGTTTTCCCCAGTTGTTCCCTCCCACAGCTCCAGTGTTCTCTTTTGGTGTTATCACCTTCCAGATTTGATGACCTGAGGTTCAAATTAAGGCTCTGATTAAATAAGAAGGCAGCAAAGGCCGGGCAAAAAGCCGCCGCAACAAAAAGCTGCGCTGACGGGCGGAAAAAGCCGCGGCGGCGGAGCCAAAAAGCCGGGGCGGCAAAAAGCCACGGTGGCGGGCGCAAACAGCCGCAAAAAGCCGCGGTGGTGGGGGCAAAATCAGTGGGAGCAGGGGCAAAAAAACACAAAAAGCCGCGGCGGCGGGGGCAAAAAGCCAAAGCGGCGGGGGCAAAAAGCCGCGGCGGGCAAATAACCGCGGCACCGGAGGGGGGCAAAAAGCCGCAGCGGGCGGCAAAAACCCGTGGCGGGCATAAACCCGAGGCGGCGGGGGAGCAAAAAGCCGCGGCGCCGGGGGGGCAAAAAGCCGCCGCGACGGAGGGCAAAATAGTGGAGATGGGGTAGAAGTCCGGCACAGCTTGGCTTTGCTGGAGTGTGATGTGATAGGAAATGTGCAGCCAAAGACAAAAGAAGATGTAAGTAGGCTTGACTCATTGCAGCTAAGAACCCAGATGTTACCTTGAGGGTATTAACTAATAAGCAGTTTAAATCAGAATGGCACATTCTGATTTGTTTTTTGTATGTTCACATTTGGCAGGCATAGATACTGTTTGAAAAGAGAAAAGTCAGTACATAGAGGTAACAAGCTTAAATATGTGCCAAGTCTAGAAACAAGAGACTAGGGGGATAAGGACCTTTCGAAATTAAATGCAAGATTTGAAAACTGATTGGCTGGGGGATGAGGCAAAGGCAGGTCTTTAAGGTCAATCCCTGTTTTGCTTTAAGTTGTTAGCGGGTGGTTTTATCATATATTGTAGAATATGTCATTTCAGTTTTGAACATCTTGAGTTAAATTGTCCTAACATATCTTACGAATTTGATTTTCTTCCCTGGGAAGCTAATATTTCAAAAACTTAAAGAGTATAGATTTCCAACTGGTATCCAATTTATAAAACTATCTCTAGGCTGCTGATTTCAGGAGGAGGCTTATGAATATTCTCTTTGCAGAGAATATATCAGGAGTTAACATCAGCTTCAATATTTGTGGACGACCAGTTAACTAAGCCACCTCTTAGTGTATTTAGATGGGAAATCTTAGCTGAAGATATTCAATAATGAACCAACAGTGACTAAAAAATTCAATATTGAAGTATATTTCCTTGTAATTAATTTGAATTGAAGTAGCCATATACAGCTAGTATTTACTACATTGAACAATGCAAATACGAGGAAAAAATTAATAACCATCTCTAATACCACATGCCAAAATCCTCATCAATTTGTTCTAGCTAAAGGAGTTTATCAGAAGCAGCAGTCGAAAGCACCAACTAAACCAGCTGGGGTTAGTTCACTGTCATTCTCTCAGAACCATCTCTTCTCTGAACAAAACAAGTACAAGAGTTCATCGTGAATCTGCATTCTCCTTGCCTATTTTAAGGTTTTGATGTTGACACTAATTTGTGAAATCCCTCCTGTGGTGTGATATTTCGTTTTCCTTGCTTTCTGTTAGGACAAGAATGCTTCAGCTCTTAATTTAAAATTATGTTTCTCCCTCCTAGGTTGAGTGAACTTAGAATGCATTCTCTGACATATCCAAGTTTTTGTTCATATGAATTTGGGGAAAAAAGCATACTTAATTAGCTAAGACTTCTTATTCTAGGCTTGACCCTGTGTTCAACATCTATTGAATTTGTAGTTGCATGGGCTGCTCTCTGACACTGCTTAGTGACCTGGAAGCTATATTAACGTTAGGGGAGGTGGTGTATGAGCATTAGAGGTATCATTGCAAGGAAAGACTTGTCTTATCTCAATTTGTCTTTTTTTTGCACACAAGAAAGTCAGTGTTTGAGTCTTCTAAAATCTTCCTATTTCCAAGTTGCAGAGTACCATTGATTCCTAAACAAAGTTCTAATTTTTGACTCAGAGACGTGGCAAGGTAGTGAATCACCATTATAATTTAACAATCTTCAAGATAAAATTATCTCTCCGATATTTAGATTTTGCCCAATTATTAAGATATTTGGTTGTTTCGTTAAGAATGGAAGACTCTAGTCTCTTCAGCAGAGACTACAAAGGCCTCAGATGATCATTTATAATTTTATGCTGTTTTCTTTAACACCTTCAACACAGTTGGAAGCAGCCAGAGTTGTTGTGTTTTTGAAACCAAATGCATGGTTCAGTGGTAGAAAACTGGGCTGATCCAAGCTGTTTTCAGTGAACACTTCATTTCAGGTGACCTATTTCATATTAAATAATCTCTAGATCCTGTCTTCGAAACTAACTAGATCAGATAACCTACCCTGGATTTTCTCCTTTTAGGGTCTGTGAGCTGCAGTCACTTTTGTGAAAATGATTGCAATGACAAGATAGAGTTGTAGATGGAGAAAATGTTTTGACTAATTTACGCATAGTGGTATTTCATATGAGAATTTAAGTTACACACTTTTGAAAATTATAATGGAGTCTCTTGGCTGAGCTTTAAAAAAAAATAGCATTTAGACTAAAAAGGGAATTGTTCCTCTCCTAAAATCAGAAAGATGTTACAGTAATTCTCCATTCTCTAGAATTATCAGGAAGCACCTTTGTGATGATTTACTTCTGTTCTTGGGAGTGTGAGCCCGTGTAGTCTTGGAACCATCAATTAGAATGATGGCTTTCTGATCCCAAAGTCATTCGTTCTGAAAACAATATTTTTCATAAATTTGAAAATGAGAAGTTTTGATCTTGCCATTCCCAAGTAACTCTCTTAATAAGAGGCATCAGCATGCTTCAGTGACAGCTGTCACCTTCCAGTGCTGAGAGTCATATTTGAGTTCTCCATTTCACTCCCTACACTCCAATTTAGCTGCAGTTCTCTTGGCCAGTCCTATGAAATACATCCATGGCCTAACGACTTCTCACCACTAATACCACTCATCCTCACAGCATTCTCACCTAAGTCACTACCTGTTTTCTCTGGATTACAGTAGCCTCCCAATTTATTTGCTCACATAACCTATTTATTCTACACAGTGCACCAGATACACCCCTTTGAAATGCAAACACAATCATGTTATTCTCTGGTGAAATTATCTCATATATTCCTATCGCATTTAAAATTAATTCAGAATCATCCCATGATTATCAAAACCCTACATGCTCTTCCACAGCATGGTTTACTTCCAAGATATCTCTTCAACTTTTTTTTCACTGTAGTGAATTGGTGACTAATAGTCATATTTTTGTTTTTGCTCAAAAAGTCTTGAATTGTAAATTTTTCAGATTCTCCTTTATCCACAGGTAACTCTTTCCTCATAAGGCGAATTGCTTGCTTCCTTGAGTTCTGCTCTCAAAGAT
The DNA here is from genome assembly GCF_000001405.40 of Homo sapiens. Lineage (NCBI taxonomy): Eukaryota > Metazoa > Chordata > Mammalia > Primates > Hominidae > Homo > Homo sapiens. The sequence continues at coordinate 10,624,411 of NC_000021.9, read as the reverse complement.
ACCCTTCATTTTCTACCTAATATTAATAACTTTAATCATTCATTATTCCATTACTATGCTCTATAGTGCATACAATTTCTGTCGTTTGTCATGTTATTAACTAAATTATTTGTTCCAGTAACGTATTCCATAAATATTGTACACATAAAAATTATGTTATTTTTATTGCTGTATGCTCAGCTGCCCAATAACAGTCTGAGGATTAACATATTTGTTAAATGCACAAATACATTCTTTCACAAATATTAGTTTAATAATTTTATATTAAACTCCCTCTATATTTACAATATGAATTAGATAATTCAGAATAAACATTCCAGTGAAAAAAACTAAACAATTTGTTATAAAACATCCTTAAAAGCATCAGAAAGTTAATAGAGCAATGAAGAATTACAGGACCAAATTAAGAGTGGTATGGAAGCCTGTTTGTGAGGCTTATGTTTGGGGTTATCTCTTTACTTAGAGTGACTATAAATCTCGAAAGAGGATTAAAGGGAGAAATAACCATATCAACTCACATGGTAAGGGTATTTAAACATCTCTTAGTAATTGAGAAAATTGAAAGAAAAGAAAAAAGAGAAAGGGAGAAAGAGAAACAGAGAGAAAGGGATAATGAAGGAGAGAAAGAAGAAGAGAAAGGAAGAGGAAGAAAAGTAAAAAGGAGGAGGAGGGAGAGGGAGGAAGAAAGGTGGAAAGAAAGAATGCTAAAGTTTTCAACAACATAATTTATCCTTCTAGAATATGAATGTTGGTCTATTTGATGATGTCCCACAGATTCCTTAGTCTCTGCTCATTTTTTATCTGTTTCTCAGAGTATTTTCCATTTTCTTATCTTCAAGCTCATGACTTCTTCTGTGTGTGCAAATATACTCTTAAATCCCTCTGGTGATTTTTAAATTTTTATTGTTGTAGTTTTCCACTCCAGAATTTCTTCTATCTCTGTTGATATTCCTACTTTTTAATATTTTTTCTGTTTCCTTGATTTCTTTGTTTGTGTTTTCCTTTTAACATTTGAGTATAATTAAGAGAGCTGTTTTAAAGTCTTTGTCTAGTAAGTTTGAAGTCTGGGTTTCCTTAGAGATATTTTCTGTCAGTTTGTTTTGTTCCTTTGAATGAGTCACACTTTCCCATTCTTTGTATGCCTTGTAACTTTTTTTGAAAACTGGACATTATAATAATTATAATTACCATGTGGTTACTCTGTAAATCAGACCCCCACCCCCGCTACAAACACAGTAATATTTTGTGGTTTTAAATCTTCTTTACTTATTATATTGTTAAGGATTTTTTTTTAGTGAAATTTTCCAAAGTGATTTACAAAACTGTTTGCTTTATAAGGTGTGGTCACCGAAGTCTTTTTGTTTCCTTAACAAATGTTAAGCTAATGTTTTGACAGTGATTTTCTTGTATGTCAGGAACTAAGCAAACCGGCAAATACAACAAAAACAAAAAGAAAAACAAGTAATCATTGTCCAGCAAAATATGTCTCTAGGCCATGCAGACTGGCTTTGTACTCGGTTCTTTAAAGCCGGCACAAAGTGTGTGTTCACTCTTGCACTGAGTGAAGTTCAAGTTCACTCTTGCACAGAGCTTGCACTGAGGGGAGGGATCGGCCAAGGTAAAAGTGTAGGGTATTCTTATGACATTTGTCAGCATGTGGCTTAACCTATGCATACATGTGACTTTCTAGACCCTCCCATGTACGTGAATGATTTTGAATGTCTTAGTTTTCCAAATACTCTTCTCCAACTTTTCTTCCTGTGCTCAAGGTGATCTACTATATGTGTAAACTCTAATTTTTGCCCTAAGCATCTGTGGCTTGTTAGGTCTCCTTGCAGAGTTTCTTGATAATGTCCATTCCTTATCTGTTCTGTATTCTAGCAACACAGAAAAAAAAAAGTCTTTCATGAGTCCTTTAGGTATCCCCCAGACCAGTCAGAACAGACACATAGTAATTTGAGGGTAAGATCTTCTCTTGTTCCTTTGGACCATGGACTAGGGTTCCTCACTGGGAACGTGGGCTTCTGATACTTCAAAACTGCCAATTTGCTGCTGCAAAGGCAAGTTAAAAATGTCATAAAGTTTTCCAGTTGTCTTTCTCTTGAGTCTGCTTTCACTTGGTTGTTGTAATCTTTTGACCATTTTCCAGAGTTTTGGCAAAGTTTATTCGGACAGTTTCTCTTAGTTGTGTGATGTTTCTGTGGGGAAATGACAGATTGCAGCTGTCTCCACTACCATTTTGCTGATGCTCCTCTTTTGTCAATTTTTGCTTCATGTTATTGTGCTTTGTTATTAGTTCATGTATTAGTTTCCTAGGGCTGCCATAACCAACTAACACAAACTGGGTGCCTTGAACAACATACATTTATAGTCTTATAGTCCTGGAAGCTAAAAGTCTGAGATTGAGGTGTCAGCAGGGATGGTCCCTTCAAGGGCTATGAGAGAAAGTCTCTTCTGTGCCTTGTTTCTCGCTTCTGGTGGTTTAGTGGCAGTCTTTGGCCTTCCTTGGCTATTCTCTGTCCTCATAATCACATGGTACTCTCCCTATGTGTATGTCTCCCTCTACTCAAATTTTTTCTTTTTATAAGGACATCAGTCATATTGAATTCAGGCTCATCTGATTTTATCTTAACTTAATCACCTGCAAAGAACCTATTTTCTAATGAGGTCATATTCAGTGGTTAAGATTTCAGCATCTATATAGAGGAAACAATTTAGCTCATATCTGTGCATACATGACTGTAATAGCTATGACCAAAAAGCGGGAAAAGCTATGACCAAAAGCGTTGACCTCCTTATTACTACAATATAAATGTTTAAAATCCTATTCACATTTTTAATAGTGTATATCGTGTGTTATGAGTATAATGAGTTCAGTGTTCTTATGATTGCTCTTTGCATGATATTTTTTGTCATCTTTGTACTTTCATTCCATTGGTATCCTTGCATCTCCGGGTATATTGGGATCACTTGTTTTAATCCAGTCTGACAATCTCTGCCTCTTGAAGGGATTTTAATCTGCTCACATTTAATATTATAATTGGTATAATTCTATTTATGTCTGCCATTTTACCGTTTGTTTTGTATATTTCTCAAATATTTTTCTTTATTCCTTTATTTTGCAATGAATGAATATTTTCTAAAATAGGGAACTCTAGATTACTAATGAATTATTTTACTATATATTTTTGAGAATTTTTGTTGTTGTAAGTTTACCATATAGGTATATGGAAAATTATTTATTCAAATCATCTTCCAATTTATACTAGTAAACTTTTAGTAATACATAGAAACATCATTCTTATACAAATCTCTTTTATTTCCTCCATTTTAAAGTATTATCACTTTACACGTTACATCTATTAAAGTTACAAAGCCAACAATATATTTTAGTAATTATTGCTTTACCATCTAGAGTGATTACCTTATCACAATACATTTTTCTTCCAACTACCTCCTTGTTGATGTTACTGGAAAATATGTTATAGACGTATTACATTTCTACATGTCAAATACTCAGCAATACATTATGCATATATTATTATTATCATTGAGACGGAGTCTCCCTCTGTCACCCAGGCTGGAGTGCAGTGGCACAATCTCCGCTCACTGCAAGCTCCATCTCCCGGCTTCATGCCATTCTTCAGCTTCAGCCTCCCGAGTAGCTGGGACTACAGGCGCCTGCCATCACGCCTGGCTAATTTTTTGTATTTTTAGTAGAGACGGGGTTTCACTGTGTTAGCCAGGATGGGCTCTATCTCCTGGCCTCATAATACGCCCGCCTCGGCCTCCCGAAATGTTGAGATTACAGGCGTGAGCCATAGTGCCCGGCCGTTATATGCATATTATTTTATAAACAATTTATGATAAAGAGAAAATATGCATTTCTACTGTTTTTATAATGTTAATATTACCTATACCAGTGCTTTTTTAAAAATGTGGATTCAAATGACTGGCTTGTGTAACTTGCTTTTAGCCTTAGGAATTTATTTTAGTGTTTTTTTTTTTTTGTATGGTAGGTCTGCCAGCAACAACTTCGGTTAATATTTTGGTTTATCTGTGTAAGTCTTTCTGTTATCTTCATTTTTGAAAAATAATTGCTCGATAAGGAATTGGTGGCTGACAGTTTTTTTCTTTGCATCTTTTGAATATATTATTCTACTGCCTCTTGCCTTCCATTGTTTCTGTTAAGTCAGCTGTTAATCTTAGAAAACCTAGGTGCTCAAAAAATAAACATATGCATGAATATTTATAGCAGTAATATTCTTACAGTCAAAAAGTGGAAACAATCCATATGCTTGTTGACTCATAAATGGACACCCAATTTCCAGCTATAACAAAGAATGAAGTACTTATACATGGTATAATATGGGTGAAATTTGAAAGCATTACGTTAAGTGCACAAAAGGATAAATATTACTTGATTTTATTCACATGAAACATCAGGAATTGGCAAATCAACTGGGATATAAATCAGATTAGTGGTCATTAGGGCTCAGGGAAGCAGAACAGGGTGTAACAACTTCATGCATAATTGGGTTTTTAGAAGGGACATGATGAAATTGTCCTGGAACATTGTGAATATACTAAAAGCAACTGCGTTGTATGCTTTAAAATTCTTAAGTTATTAATTTTATATTATGTGATTTTTACCTTAAAAAAATAGAAAATAGCCTTACTCTATATACAATAAACTCAAGATGTGTTACAAATTTATATGTGAAATCCAAAATACTATAATAGTTAAGGAATAGCTGAGTAGAATAACACTAAAATTTAACATAATGAAATATTTCCTTAAAGAAGAAAAAAGCACAGTAATTAAAAAGGGAAATATAGTTAATATTTTTTCTCTCTATTAAGCATGCCATTACCTGAGTAAAAAATCAAGCTGCAATTATGTAAACTACATTTTCTAAAACCATAAAGAAAATAAGGAATGAAAAGGGATTTGGGAAAAAAATCCAAAGGTACAGTCAACTACACAAAAAAAGCTTAGTCTCATTAATCATTATGAAAACGCAAATTGTAACTGAAAGAAGATAAAACTACAATTCAAAGAGAAAGCCTAAAATTTCAACCCCCCAAAAAGTCTGGGTTTTGGAGATCTGGGATGGAATAGGTTTCCTAACCTGACAACAATGAAAGAACCAAACTAACTTCAAAGTCATGACTTTATTTTTATAGCAACCAGGTTGCCAAGAACTGAGTCAAAATGTGAGGGAAAACAAGCACCTGCAAGGAGAAAGAGGACAGATGCACTTACATAGGACAGATGCAAATAGACACCATTATGACAAGTAAAGCTGGAATAATCAATAAATTCCTAAAGACAAAGTGGGGCTGGTGAAATTCGGAGACCGCTGACAGCTGCAGAAGTTGGGAAAGATCCATCATCTTGAAAACTTTTTCCCCACAAACCCACTGCGATCTCTCAAGCAATTGGTGAGAAATCCAAGAGAGTCTGTATATGACACAGATCAGGGAGAGCAGAACACTTGGGAGGTGACCAGGTCTTGGGGGCCGAGCCCTTATGAATGGGATTAGTGCCTTTATAAAAGAAGCTCAATGGAGTTCTTGTGTGCCTTCCACTGTGTGAGGACATAGAAAGAAGGCACCATCTATGAACCATGAAATGGGCTCTCATCAACACTGAATTTGTGAGCATCTTGACCTGAGATCTTACAGCCTCAAGAAGTGTGAAAAGAGAAATATCTGTTGTTTTTTAGTCACCCAGTATATGTTATTTTGTTATAAGAGTCCAAATAGACCAAGATATTCCACTTAATATGCAGGGGAAGGCAACAAAAACTGCCACACTTAGAATACTCCTGATGCTGGGAGTATGAAAACAGGAAAAACAAAACAAAACTGCTCTTGAAGGTGAAGGAGGAATATCACTGAGCTCACTAACACAGCCAGGAAAAGAACAGAAGTGTGAGAAGGCTACATTCCTGAGACCCTGAGAAAAAGTACCTGCATGAGACTGAGATGAAATTACCTACTCTAGTTATGACTGAAATCCCAAAAAGAAAAGAGGGAAAAATAATGGAGCAAAAGAAATATTTTTCAAAATAACTGCCAAAAATATTCTAAAAGAAGTGACAGAAAATGGAACTTCAGATATAGGAGACTCAGAGAATGTCAAATAGAACAAAAATAAATAAGAATTAAATCTTGAAAAATCTTTTAAAAATCAACTCTAAATTTTATATCTTGCTCCAAATATATAGAGATATAAATAGGTTATCATCAAGATATGGAGAAAGCCATATCATGGAAACAATAAAATAAAGCTGTTGAAGGACTACATAGATATTAGATACAACAGAGTTCAGAACAAGAAATAGTATCAGAGATGAGAGGTAATAGATAATATAATAATCAATTCTCAAGAAGATGTAAGCATCCTCCTAATTAGGTTATGCAGCTAACAACAGAACCTCCAAATACATGAGGTAAAACATGAAAGAAATCAAAGGTGAACTAGAAAAATCCAAAATTATATTTGCAGACTTCAACACTTTTGTCTTAGTAATGGATAGACTAGGCACAAACTCAGTAGTCATATGGAAGATAAGAACAACAATATCACCAACAAGACATCCAATCTGCAATGGCAGATACTCTTTCTTTTCAAGTGAAAAAAAAAAACACTATGGCATATTCTCTAACAAACCCAGAATTTCTAATATTTGCGATCTTCCTCCCTTCTTTCTATCTTTCCATCTTCCTTTCTCTTCTCTTCCGTTCCCTTGCCTTCTTCCTTCCTTTCTTCTTTTCCTCTTTCTTTTTTTTCTTTTCCTTTCTTTTCTTTCTTTTCTCCTTCCTTCCTTCTTTCCTTCTTTCTTTCCCCTTATTCTTCCTTCCCTCCCCCCACCCTTTCTCCCTTTTCTTCCTTCTTTTCTCTTATTCTTTCTCACTTTGTTGCTTTCTTTCCTTTTTTCTCCCTTCCTCCCTCCTTTTCTTCCTTCCTCCCTCCCTTCCTTTCCTCCTTTTTCCTTCCTTCTCCTCTTTATTTTCTTCGTGTCTTTGCCTTCCTCCCTTTTACCATTCTCTCTTCCTCCTTTCCTTCTTCTTTCTCACTTTCTTTCTCTCTTTCTTGAGTTCTTGCTTTTTTCTCCCTTCCTGCCTTTCTCCCTTCCTCCCTCCCTCCCTTCTCTCATTTCCTCCTTCTTTTCTTTCTTCTTTCTTTCCTTCCTTCCTTCTTTCCTTCCTTCTTTTTTCTTTCTTTTCTCTTTCCTACAATTCATATTATTTTAAAACAATTAAGAGAGGGAGGCAGAAAAATAAAGAGCACTTTAATCTGCAGGTAAATAGATTATGTCTGCTGTAGACAACATAATAGCCTCCCAAAAATGTTCATGTCCTAATTCCCAGAGTTACAATTCCCTAACATACAAATATGTTAGGTTGCATGGCAGTGGGAAATTAGATTTCAAGTGAAATTAAGGTTGTTAAGGCGGCGGGGGCAAAAAGGCGCAGCAGCAAAAATCCGCGGCGGCGGGGGCAAATAGCCACGGCGGCAAAAAGCCGCGGCGGCGGGGGGCAAAAAGCCGTGGCGGGCATAAACCCGCGGAGGCGGGGAGACAAAAAGCTGCGGCTGCAGGGGGGCAAATATCCGCGGGGGGCAAAAAGCCACGGCGCCGGGGTGGGGCAAAAAGCCGGGGCGGGGAACAACCCATGGTGGCGAGGGGAGGGGGACAAAAACCCGGGGTGGGCAAAAAGCGGCGGCGGCAAAAAGCTGCAGTCCAGGAAACATCACTTACTGTCCCTGCTAGTGTTGGGAAAGAAAGGAGGACACTCTTTAGAAACGTCTTTTACAATGAGACTGATAGTGGACTGTGTCTTAGAGCCATGAAAGGAAAGGAGAAGTTGTAGGATTTCCTGGGAATGTCAGCTAACCTGAGCCTAGGGGCCTGAGCCCAAGGGCAGACTGAGGCTCCCCCAGCACAGGGAGGTGCTGCCTGTGACAAGGGGTAGTGCTGGCACAGTGCAGGCTACTCCCTAGAAAGATCAGCTTGAATATGCAGGAAGAGCAGGACCCTCGGGCTGAGGCAGAGGTGGAATGGGAAGTGCATGGTGGTAATTTAGTTCTCCAGAGGCCAGAAGTAGGAGGAGCGGTTGGAATGCTGATGGCCCAAAGGGAAACCCTGGACTACCCTGGCCTCCCACAGGACTCTCATAGTAATTGCGGCTCCCTGCAGTGGTGAGGCCAGAAGGAGTGTTGCCCAATGCTGTCATCATCCAGTCCACCCCCCACCCACCATCAACAGATGAGTATGGTCATGAGTGTGGTCACCTCATCAGTCATTTGCTCAGTTGTGAAAAAGAAATTGTTCAGAGAAGAGCAAAGTGTTTTTCCATGAGCCAAAGGTCAGCCAAGTTATGCTAATGAGGAGGACTGGAGACAGCGTGTCACAGACACCGAGAAGGAGCACTGGGCAAGGGCACTTCTCCCAGGGCAGAGCCCACAAGAAGCGTCCTGGCACCAGACACTCAGGGAACTGAAGGCTGGCAGGGGCCCGCCCAGTAGTCTCTTGCCCACTGCGTGCCTTTAGGCTACAGCCTCCCAGGCCCCGTGCCCCCTCCCCTCCTCGCCATGCCACACTGGGGAGAATGCTGACCCTGAGGGTGGTGCAACCATCTGCCTGCCCCTGGCCACCACTTCTCACCAGCATGTGAATGCTCTTGGGCTCAGTTCTGTATCTGCAGTAGGAGGGTGTTTAGCCACATGAGAGAGTCTCACCTTTTGACATTCTATGTCTTTCAGTCTGTCAAAGATCTAGAACATATTGTGATGGAATTAAAAAGTTTACTTTTGGCTGGGCAAGGTTGCTCAAGCCTGTAATCTCAGCACTTTGGGAGGCTGAGGCGGGTGGTTCACTTGAGGTCAGGAGTTCAAGACCAGCCTGGCCAATATGGTAAAACCCCGTCCCTACTAAAAATACAAAAATTAGCCAGACGTGGTGGTACACGCCTGTAATCCCAGTTACTCGGGAGTCTGAGGCAGGAGAATTGCTCGAACCCAGAAGGCAGAGGTTGAAGTGAGCGAAGATTGTGCTATTACGCTCCAGCCTGGGTGACAGAGCGAAAATCCACCTAAAAAAAAAAAAAAAGTTTACCTTTTCCTATTTATGTGCATACAGGTATTTGGGTACCACATTTGTAATTTACAGTGAGTTTGAAAGATAGAAATTGTAACAGTATGGTTGGGAGCCAGGTATGTAAGGCAGTTGCCGGTGGGCATGTTTTGAACCTGTATTGGGCCCTTATATGTATGATCTCTGTGATCCCATCATTACTGTTCATTTCTTCCAGGAGAGGAATGACACACTTCTCACTTTAATTGCCAGATTATCTCCAATTCTGAATCAGTGGAATATAATTTAATATGATTTTACTATGATTGAGTCATTCTCTCCCAGGTGCTGCTGGGCTAGGATAAAATGAGATCTGAATTACATTAAAATAATTAATTATTCCAAGAGAAGAGGTGACAGAATGTTTTAAGTGGGTGTGTAATTTAGATAACCTAGATGCAGATAAGCTGAATAAAGCATTTAATCCAGCACATTCATATTTTAACTTGATCATCAGCAATGGGAGTTTGAAACCCAATTGCAGCTGCAGGTCCCACACAACTGAATTTGGTTCCGTGTGCATAGCAGTGTTCGCTGGACATGCCTGGAGGTCTGAAGGTGTGCCCTTTTATAGGCAGGAATTCCACCAGGATGGGTATAGCTTGTTTTTTTAAAAGGCTTGGGACTGGATACGATTGCCCAAGAAGACAGTGTAGACAGCGAGGAGGGCTGAGCATGAATGGGATGACCTACCAGCACAAAAACAGCAGGCAGGAAGGCAGTAAAGAAATCAGCAGGGCCCAAACCAGGAGAGTGTGGCATGCCACGGTGGAGACTGAACAGAAACAAAGCCACGGGAGACTGTAGTGTTGTTCCCTGTTGAAGGAGAGACTCTCTATTATAGAAGACCTGGACTTCAGTTCAGTTCAGTTTCCTTAGTAAAGGACAAAATGGGGAGAGAAGACAGGGAATCAGGGAAGAAAAACTCATTCACTTATGTGAGGCAAACATCGCATGCAGTCGTACCAACCAACAAAACATGATAAGCTACAAAGAACTACGGTTTTCGCTACTCTCAAAAAGCTACTGAGATTACCAGGTTTTAAGCTTATTTCAAGATTATTTATAGGTGATTCCCCAACTGGGAAGGTCATTTCTGAATTTCTTCTCTTCTAAAATAGATCTAGAAAAATTAACAAACCTTATTCCAGTAAGAAAGTTTGGGATGTACTGCTTCAGCCCCTGTCCTAAGGAAATTATCAAGCCTGGAGGGTGGGGTGCTATCAACTGCCTGCCAACATGTTACCTTCTGGCATCCAGAAGCTTCCCTGTGCCAGATGGAGCCACCAATGTGGGGAGGAGAGCACAAAGAGCAGAGAATCCACAGAAACCATACCTGCAGGGAGCAAACACCATCACACCCCACTGCTGTGAATGCAAATGCATTTACCTGTTCTTACCATCTCCCTCAGCATTTTGAATCTATTCTGGGATTAGACAAGCTCCCAGACTTAACTGCTATGTTTAATAAAAACATGGTAAAGGAAGAATCGGGGCTATTAAAATGCTTAAGAATGAGAAAGTTGAAAAAAGAAAAAAAGAGGTAGATTGTGTTTGGCCTGTCTTCTCCCCACCGTGAGGGGTTGCCACTCAGCTGGAGGCCTGCTGGTTCGTGTGGGCCAGCCCTCGACACCTCAGTGACCAAACGAAATACAACCCTCACTAGAGCTTCTTGTACTTGGCAAGACCCAGGCGTAGACCTGGGCTACCAAACAAAACCTTGTGTTCTTAGAGCCTGGGAACAAGAGCTTTGACAGTTTCCACAAAGAACTCTTCCATAGCACTAGCATTTCTATTTGCACCTGCCTGCAGCCATTACTACGCTGACCTCTGGAAATGTCACATCAGCTGTTCTTGAGATAAAATACCATTTGCTATTTTTTTTTTATCTAGGCCCTGTCCCTTTGATGTTAAGTGGTGGAGGGAGTTGGCGGGATTTGCCTCTGGCTTGCGGTATATCTAGTGGATTGTATCAAATCCAGAATTCAAGTTCTTTCCATGTCTTGAAAACAGGCAGGATTTATCAGAACTTTTATAAATGTTGTGAAAAATGAAGGTGAATAAACACCTGTTTTTACAGCATCTAGTATACATCTTAAAATCTGAGAAGTGAACTTCTCTGTTTTGATTGTAAAAGGAAAGAGAACGGTAACACAGAAACTTTGTGTCCCAAATAGAGCACAGATAACTTGTCTATTACTCATAGTAATCCTCCCTTAAATTTGTATAACATGCGAAGTTTTACACAGTACTTATACCTCCCTTATCTAATTCAATCTTCATAACCACCCTGGGCAGTACTAATATTATAAACCAGTCTCCAACCTCAAGGTTGGTGCTCTTGCCACTGCCCAGGTGAAGCTGCAAAGCTGTGGCCACCTCTGTCTCCATGGTTGCATCTGTCTGGCCGTCTCAGGCCTCAACACTGCCCCATCCATGTACTAAGAGTTAACCAAGCATGGAATTGGGGTATGTTACCTGAGCATCAGTCAGTTTTGCCAGGAGACCTGATACTTGTCCTTGTTTCTGTTGGTCTATTTAGGGAAAGCTGGGAATGCGTCCTTCCATGACTTGTTGGTTTTTAGCACTCTTGTCTGGATTTGCATGTGTAAATATACCTGTGCAATGCAGCTGCGTGGGTGTCCCCAAAGGAGGGATTGTTGCAGTCTTTGCTTGCCCTTTTGTCTTCTAGGAATAATGGCCTTACATTCTGGACTGAAACCTACTATGATTCGAGCATTACCTGACGATTTAGCACTCTTTTTGGCCGACGAATATACCAGGAAGTTGATGATGAGCCAGTTGGAAGCATACTGAAGTGTCTTGGACGGCCTGAGCCAAGCACAGGTGTTTGAGGACTACAGTTCATCTCAGGGTTTCTTGTAGTACAAGACCAGTGTGAAGTTATTCTGATTTCTTGGGAATTTTGCTTTTTCGTCTTCCCTTATACCCTACATCTTAAATTGTATGGAAGAACCTCTATTTTGCATCATGTCATTTCTGCCCATAATTGTACTGAAATAGAGAAGTCACTGCTCTTTCCCTTGGTAAAATAGAGAGTGGTCAGTAGCCTTATGCACCTAATTCAAAAGACTGAGTACAGTTCTGTCAGGGCTTTTACATAAACCTCTACTTGCACATGTAATTTGGACAGTTATGTGCTGAGGGAAATACAGTTTGGTTCCATGTTTATTTCAAATGTTACCAGAAAAACCCAGAAGTGATCATTTCTCATGAAGATGCTTACAAATGGTTGCTTAACCCATTCTAGGTGCAGGATCTGCTTAACGTGTGTTACTATTCTAAGTGGTTGATTTTTTTTTTTCTTAATATGGAGTCTCAGTCTCTTGCCAGTCTGAAGTGCAGTGGTGCAGTCTCGGCTCACTGCAACCTCTGCTTCCTGGGTTCAAGCAATTCTCCTGCCTCAGCCTCCCGAGTAAGTGGGATTACAGGGGTGCTCTACCACACCTGGCTAATTTTTGTATTTTTAGTACAGATAGGGTTTCACCATGTTGGTCAGGCTGGCCTCGAACTCCTGACCTCGTGATCTACCCGCCTCAGCCTCCCAAAGTGCTGGGATTACAGGCATGAGCCACTGCACCTGGCCAAATAAAACATATTTTTAATGAATAAAAATTAAGGACAAAGAAGAGCATTCCTTATAGAATGATAAAGGACACAATTCAACCAGAAGACCTAGCCTAAATATGTACACACCCAACATTGGAGCACCCAAATTCATAAAACAAGTTTTTCTTGGCCTACAAAAAGATTTAGACACACAATAACAGCAGGAGACTTCAACAACCCACTGACAGCAATAGACAGATCATTGAGGCAGAAAACTAACAAACTCTGTACTCGCACTTGACAGTTGACCAATTGGACCTGATAGACATCTACAGAACACTTTGCCCAACAAACACAGAAGATACATTCTTATGTGCACACAGAACATATTCTAAGATCAAGCACATGCTTGGCCATAAAGCAAGCCTCAATAAATTCAAAAAGTTTGAAATCATACCAAGCACACACTCTGACCACAGTGAGACAAAAATAGAAATCAGTATCAAGAAGATCTCTCAAAACTACATAAATACATGGTAATTACATAATTTGCTCCTGAATAACTCCTGGGTGAAAAACTAAATTAAGGCAGAAATAAAAAAATTCTTTACAATTAATGAAAATAGGGACACAACATACCAGAATCTCTGGGATGCAGCTAAGGCAGTGTTAATAGGAAAGTTTACACACGAAATGCCTTCATCAAGAAGTTAGAAATATCTCAAATTAACTTTCCTACTTTGCAGTTAAGGGAACTAGAAAAAAAGAATAAACTAACTCCAAAGCTGGCAGAAGAGAAATATCTAAAATTAGAGAAGCACTGAATGAAGTGCTTTTTGAGGTGCTGTTTTTTTAGACTAGATGCAAAAATCCACACAAAAGATCAATGAAACCAATAATTAGTTTTTCAAAAAATAAACAAGATGGATAGCCTGATAGCTAAACAAAGAAAAAAAGAGAAGAGCCAAATAAGTACAATCATAAATGACAAAGATGACATTACAAACAATCCCACAGAAATACAAAAGATCCTCAGAGAATACTATAAACAACTCTATGCACACAAATTAGATAATCTAGAGGAAATGGAGAAATTCCTGGAAACATACAATCTCCCAAGATTGAATTAGAAAGAGATTGAAACCTTAAATAGACAAATACCGAGTTCAAAAATCAAATCATTAATGTAAAATCTACCAACAAGGAAAAGCCCTGGACCAGATGACGCAAGAGCTGAATTCTACCAGATGTACAAAGAACTGGTACTAGTTCTATTGAAACTATTCCAAAGAACTGAGGATGAGGGGCTCCTCCCTAACTCAGTCTATGAAGCCAGCATCAGCCTAATACCAAAATCTGGCAGAGAAACACACAAAAAGAAAACTTCAGGCCAATTACTCTGATTAACATAGACACAAAAATTCTCAACCAAATACTAGGAAACAGAATCCAGCAGCACATCAGTAAGTTAATCCACCACAATCAAGTCTTCAGTACAGGGATGCAAGGCTGGTTCAAATATGATGTTCATATTTACAACATACTAAATGTGGTAAATCACATTTAGTGATTCACCACATAAGCAGAACTAAAAGAAAAACCATATCATCATCTCAATAGATGCAGAAACAACTTTTGATAAAATCCAACATCCCTTCACATTAAAAACCTCAACAGACTCAGCATCAAGGGAACATACCTCAAAATAATAGGAGCCATCTATGACAAACTCACAGCCACCAACCTACTGAATGGGCACAAGTTGGAAACAATCCCCATGAGAAATGGAGCAAGACAATGATGCCGACTCTCATCACTCCTATTCAACGTAGCACTGGAAGACCTACCTGGAGAACTCAGGCAGGAGAAAGAAAGAATAGGCATCCAAATAGCAAAAGAAGAAGTCAAACTATCTCTCTTCACTGATGATATGATTCTATATCCAGAAAAGCAAAGACTCTGCCAAAAGGCTACTAGAACTGATAAATAACTTTAGCAAAGTTTCAGGATAAAAAATCAATGTATAAAAATCAATAGCATTTCTATACACCAATAATGTCCAGGCTGAGAGTTAAATCAAGAACAGAATCCCATTTATGGTAGCGACAAGGAAAATGAAATAACTAGGAATACAGCTAACAAAGGATGTGAAAGATCTCTACAAGAACTATAAAACACTGCAGAAAGAAATCAGAGATAACACAATTAAATGGAAAAACATTCCATGCTCATGGATTGGAAGAATCAGTATCATTCAAATGGCCATACTGCCCAAAGCAATTGACAGATTCAGTGCTATTTCTATCAAACTACCAATGTCATTCTTCACAGAATTAGAAAAAAGTATTCTAGAAGTCATATGAAACCAAAAGAGGGCCTCAATAGCCTAAGCAAATCTAAGCAAAAGGCAAAGCCAGAGGCTTCAAACTATAAGGCTATATTATCCAAAACAGCATGGTACTGGTACAAAAGCAGACATATAGACCAATGGAACAGAATAGAAAACCCAGAATAAAGCCTTACACTTAAAACCACCTGATATTGCAAGGCTGACAAAAACAAGCAATGGGGGAAGGACTCCCTATTCAATAAATGGTGTTGGGGTAACTGGCTAGCAATATGCAGAATAATGATACTCGACCCATACCTTTCATCATATACAAAAATTAACTGGAGATAGATTAAAGATTTAAATGTAAGACCTCAAGTGATAAAAATCCTAGAAGAAAACCTCAGAAATACCCTTCTTGACATTGGCCTTCGGAAAGAATTTTTAACTAAGTCCCCAAAAGCAATTGCAATAACAACAAAGATTGACAAGTGGGACCTAATAAAGCTAAAGCGCTTTGGCACAGCAAGAGAAACGATCGACAGAGCAAACAGACAACCCAGAGAACAGGAGGAAACATTTGCAAACTATGCATCCAACAAAGGTCTAATATCCAGAAACTATAAGGAACTTACACAAATCCACACGCAGAAACCAAATAACCCCATTAAAAATGTGGAAAGAACATGACACATACTTCTCAAAAGAAGACATACAAGTGACCAATGAGCATCTGGAAAAATGCTTCACTTCACGAATTGTCAGAGAAGTGCAAATCAAAACCACAATGAGATACCATCTCACACTAGTCAGAATGGCGATTAATAAAAAGTCAAAAACAACAGATGCTGGCAAGGCTGCAGAGAAAAGGGAACGTTTATACATTGTTGGTGGGAGTGTAAATTAGTTCAGCCACTGTGGAAAGCAGTCTGGAGATTTCTCAAAGAACTTAAAATGAGCTACCATTCGACCCAGTAATCCCACTATTGGATATATGCCCAATGGGAAAAAGACCACTCTACCAAAAGACACACACACTGATATGTTAATTGCTGTGCTATTCACAATAGTAAAGATATGGAGTCAACCTAGGTGCCCATCAGTGGTGGATTGGATAAAGAAAATGTGGTACATACACACGATGGAATTCTACACAGCCATAAATATGAGTGAAATCAGGTCTTTTGCAGCAACGTAGATGGAGCCGGAGGCCATTATCCTAAGCAAATTAATGCAAGACCAGAAAACCAAATACTACATATTCTCACCTATGAGAGCTAAACAACAGGTACCCTTGGACATAAGGTTGGGAACAACAGACACTGTGGACTACTAGAGGGGGATGGAGGGAGAGGGGTGCAGGTTGAAAAACTACCTATTGGGTACTATGCTCTCTACCGGGGTGCAATATACTGATGTGACAAACTTGCACACATACCCCCATATTTAAAATTAAAGCTAAAATTTTAAGACATGAGTATCATTCTGATCTAAGTTTCTTGAGTTGTTCAAAGAATCATTCATTTTGCATTCTAAGAAAACAACACCCAAAGAGGCCTTAAATGAGTTTTCTTTGAATAAGCAAAAGCAGAATAGTGTGACAACTCACAATTTCCAGAAATTTTGATGGGTCTTGGAGGTCTGGGGAAGAGAAACCTTAATGGTAATCTCCTTATTTCAAAAAGGGAAATCCTTAAAATAAAAAAGGGAGTTTCCTTCTTTCCTGTGTTTCTAGTACTGAAAAAGACAGATCTTAATCTTCACTGAGCCAGCTAAGTATTTTCCTCCCTATTCACCTAAACCCAGGACATAATCTGCCCTCTGTAGATTATCGCTGTGTGAATTTTAAAGGAAATAGCATAACCTATGTTGTGCCTACACGTTTCTGTCGTATGTATGGCAGGGTATAATATTAACATGAAAGTAATTTGAAAGCATGTTCTACGATCTTTTCCTCAAAGAAGGAGCCAGATCAGGGGGAGTAAAGGAAAAAGACCTTTAGTTGGGCTGCTGCACGGGCAGTTGGAACCTTTTTTGGACTATTTAGAGGAGAAGAAGTCACCTGCAGCGAGGCGGCTCACCAACCTAGTGGGGCTCTTGGCTCCTGGCAGGTTGCTGCCTTCCGTGCCCACCATGGCTCAGGGCTCTACTCTCATCTGTGCCACTTGGTACCCACAGACCTTATAGCAAGTGTTTTTCTATTTCCACTCAAAAATTAAAAAGCTCTATGGCAAACTCCCGACATTGAGCTGCTGATGTGGGTGGTCCCAGCGGTTAGTGTGTTGGTTAGAAAGTTGCTATGCCAGACAGGTTTGCCCTGGACTCTCAAACCCTGTATTTTCATGAACTGCTTCTTTTTTCAGTCCTTTCTGTAGAGTGCTAGGTTTTTCAGGAATGAGTTTATCGTGTTTTAGCAGTGACACTTGTCTTATTAGTTGTTACCTTTCATTTCCTGATGAACGAATCTTGGTCTAGATTGTTGAGGGACTTGCCAATAAAAGGAAAATCATTCAAATAAGAATAATTTCAATAAAGCCAAGATAGAAGGTTTTCAAGGACAATCATGGCCGGAAGATACAGTGGCAATAAAGGTATTTTGAATGAATTAACACCCATGGACTGGGCCTGGTGGCTCATGCCTTAATACCAGCACTTTGGGTGGCTGAGGCAGGCAGATTGCTTGAGTTCAGGAATTTGAGCTCAGCCTGGTCAACAACGGCAAAACCTCGTCTCTAATAAAAATACAAAAAATTAGCTGGGTGTGCTGGCATGCGCCTGTAGTCCCAGCTACTCAGGAGGCTGAGGTGGGAGAATCACCTGAGCCTGGGAGGTTGAGGCTACAGTGAACCAAGATCACACCACTGCACTCCAGTCTCGACAACCAGAGTGAGATGCTGTCTCAAAAAATAAAAAATACAAATAAAAAATTTGTTAAAAAAAAGTAGCACCCAGCACCAAAGAGGAAATAATAATGATTTCCTGTAGACATAAGGCTAACCAGTGTTTATAACGCAAAGATAACCTCCCTTCAGAGTCCCCCAAGCTTAGGTGAAGTTGGTTGTGAGCAGGAATAGTGAATTTCAAAATAATACACCTAGATTACTCTAAGAATATTTCTTTTCACTTCACTTACAATTTTATACAAAAGCAGAAGTTATTAAAGATTACTTATCTTCATATTTACCACCATCTTCTTACCCCAACCTCCATGTCTGTGTGTAATTAAAGGAAGCTTGTCAAGTAAGCTACCTATTTAGTGCTCGGAATGAAAGGGAGTGTGTGTTGGGAGTTGGGGGACTGCTTGCGTGAAACATTTCTCTCTTCTGGATTTAAAACTTAGTCTTGGTTGCCAATCTGTTAACAGACAGTTTGTAAATGAAGGGGAAGAAAAATATATAAATTAGCTTTCTAATAAATCTGAAATTACAAATGTGAACCAAAGCAGGGAATAAATACTTGACCAAAAATATGTAAGTAAGTGGGTGTTGGGGAATCACAATTTTTGAATATCTCAAGTTTTTGCTTTGAAAGTTCTATTTCAAAGTTCTTCAAAATGATGCCTGATGTTCCTGCATACTGTGTTCCAAATTTAGGTAAATACAAGATGGAAACTGTGAAGTATGTACCTTCAAAAAAGAAGAAAGACACTGACATTTTATCTATATATATGTAATAGATTTATGAAGAACATATATAAACATATATAAACATAAATAAATACTTCAAGGAACATTTAGGATAGATTTAGGATATATGAACATGTGGCAGGGTTGGAAAGAACATAATTCTTTCCCAGAAGGGGAAGGGGGAGCTATACTTAATCGGATCCAGCTACAACATCACTGGAAGTCATTTTCTCGCCAAAAAGTATCTCCACGGCAAAATCTGATGGATAAATTCTCCGTGCTTTTTGTTTATGTAGATTATCCAATTCATTTTTTGGTAGATAAAGCCTAAGAATAGAAAAAAATTATTACATTTTATATTGGGGCTCACTGAAAAGCCACACAGTTGGGTACCCACGTTAGAGCTGGAAGAAACAAAAAAAGAACCTCACCATGAATAGAACCTCAGCCCTTTTTTTGTGTCTCAGTTGGCTCCTTCCACCTTTTTACTGAGACATAAAAATACTTTAATCTTCAGCAACACATCAGTAACACATGCTGACTCTCTTAGCATTGCTTTATATGGAATTAATGACATCCAAGTTTAATAAAATATCTAAATTTCTCTCTGTGACAGAAATCAGTCAGGATAGACATGAATGAAAGCCCAGTAATAAAATACTATATCTCTTTTAATTTATGTGTGAGGTTGCAATTTTTTGAATTTTTACAATCAGACCTTGGAAATGACCTTGAGCAGTAGGATATAACTCCCACATGCTGAGTGTTCCAATAATGGAACACTAGGCATAAATTGGTTAACCCATTTATGCCTCGTGTTCTCAATGATAGAAGTTAGCATTTTTAGCTAAACAACAATCTCATAACAAAAACAGCTTTACCAAGTAGGATGTAAATTTAAATGTTACAGAAATCTTTAGAAATTTATATAAAATAAGAATAAAAGTGACCTAGCTTATCACTTCTCCAAAATGAACATAGTGTTTTAAAGGAAAAAAAAAATGGTATCCTTTAGCAAGAACCACTTTTGAGGAGCAGCATCAAATGAAGCTCCACCCAGGTCTCACTTTTTGAGGGTCTTTGCTCATGTTAGAATAAAAAGCTTATTGTTTGTATGCATCCAAAAAAAAAAACTTGTAAAAAATTTCCATCAAATACAAAGTTGACTCTATCAAAATCCATTAAATGTTTTGCATTGCAAGTGTGCAGACCAGAGGTTTAATTTCCTGTTGCCTTGCTGGACTTAAGGAATCATTCGATCCAGTTCACATTTGAAGAAAAGATTAGGACTGGATGTAACAATAACTATCAATTCATGCCACATATAATCATAGCCACTTCTTCAACTCTGACCTAAATCATTTAAAAAATATTTTGTCCTTTTGTATTGAAGAGTATGGTTGACACAAAAAAAGTCTCAATTTTTCACCATCACAAAACAAATGCTACTTACAGTGGAGAACTTCTAGACTGAGAAATGAGTTTCCAAATATGGCAGAAGGTTTTTTTGGAACAATAATCTCCAAATCCAATTAATAATTTTTCAGAAAGGTTTCCCAATTCAGTTATTAGAAAGCCATATTTGAATGGCTATTTAAATAGACTATTACTTAATGATATTTCTTAGCTGTATTCCTTAATACTGTGTCTTGTGACTTCTCCTAGATATAAGTGTGTCAGTCAGCTTTTCAGCTAGCTGAAGCCTCCCTAGGTCCTGCCTTCCTTTAGCACAAAAGTTGATGGTGGTTCATCATTGGTAAATCAACACCTACTGACAGGGACCTGACATATTGAAGGTGCTGAGCAGCCTCATATTGAACTTCTCTGGGAGGAATTTACTACCACACTTAAGATCTGATGATAATACTTTTGAACTCGTAACACAGTCCTATGGCATGGACCCTGAGGATACTGCAACAGTGGGTCTCAAGAACAAATGGATTTTTAAAATAACCAAAGTAAGAAGAGTAAGGCAAGGAACAATGGTGGTTCAAGGATTTTTTGCTTTCTATAAATTAAGTTTATGACAACCAGCAAAAGACTTGCCATTACACCTTATACATAGACATTGAAGATTAGGCTGTTTCTATGGGTTTCTATTATATTCATACCTGTTATTTTCAATAAAAGATGTGTGCAACCAGAAGTAAAATGAGCAATTGTCATAGTATGTAGGAAGATTCTAAAAAGAAAAAAAAATTTCAAAGTAAAACTGATACCAAGAACTAATCATTCCAAAGAAATTGAAGTTCCTTTCTTTATTCTTTTTTATATTTATCAAACAATTATAACCATTAAATATGTGGCACTCTGCAATCTATAACAATACACTCAAGACACAAAGGAGGAGGCTTTAAGAAAATGCTACTGCATTCTCTTGCTGTTTCTATCAAAATTTTCAAGGAATAGTATTTTTCCCATGATAGGTATTTAATTTAAATGCTGCTATTTGAATCTGGTTTAGATAGTGCCAAACAGACTCTACTAAGGACCTATGTCTATATATACCCAACTACATTGTAGTGAATTCTTGTAATTTTTTTGTTGCCTCAGCATCCCTTTTAATTATAAATTGGATTTTCTGATATCAGAAGCGGGGTTCAGTCACCCGCAGCAGTTTCCCGTTCACCTCCTCCCAGTTTCTCCATGTGACTGATCCTGATATCTGCCTTACACAACCTTCTCATGATGACCACTTCACTATGGGACAGCTAAATATAACCTACTTGACTCACCCCACAGACCCCCATACTCTGCAGGGACCATGTGGATATATCAGTGACCACCTCTCAGTCACAGCAGAGACTCATAGCTGCTTGCATTAAACCAAATTAGACCTCCCCGCAGGAAACCTGCTCAGGTAGCACCTTACATCCCAATAAAGGCTTCCACTCTCAGGTCCCTCCCTCTCTCTCGCTATTGCTCCCACCCATCAGTCGAGCACAGGTCTCCTGGATGGCTCCCCCTTCTAGTTGGCCCTGCGAAGTGTGCTGCCCTCCTCTCTCTGGAATTAATAAAAAACTGCTTCGGTTATTTCATGTGTTGTATTGTGCTGCCTTCTCTGTTTCACCCAACTGAGTCACCCAAACCTAACTCTCTTTCCAGTCAGTGCTCCCAGCTACTCGGGAGGCTGAGGTGGGAGGATTGCTTGAGCCCAGGAGGTTGAAGCTACAGTTAGCTATGATCACGTCACTGCACTCCAGCCTGGGTGACACAGTGAGACCCTGTCTCAATTTCTTAATTTTTTAAAAAAGATGCAAAACAAAATGTAATCAATGCTATGCAGTAAAACATACCTTTGGGGTTTTTTTTTTTTAGCATCTTGACTTTGTGTGTGTGTTTATTTTGTATTTTTTGTATTTGAGAATACATGTAAATTTAGAAAAATTTAGAAAATTTACAATTTAGAAAAAAACAAATGAACAAAAATTATTTAAATTACATACGCTCTTTTAAAAAAATTTGTTATAGATCTGATTTATTGTTTTCTTCCCCCTACCCCTCCCTTGTTGGGAATTGTAGTAAAGCAAATCTTACATGAAATCATTAGACCAGACAAGAACAATGGCAGAGGCTACTTTGTGATTACTCACCGAATAGAAAAACTGCACTTTCACATCATCATACAGAGGTAGACCGTCGAATACATCAATTAATATTTTGTCTGTTGTAATGTTATCAAGTACCTATGAATGAACACATGGAATTGAGAACTATAAACCTAGATAATGATAACAATGAAGTTCCTTTTCACTTATCATGACTTCCTGTATTTATCAAGTACTTTTGGTCTCACAGCCCAATCACTACATACATAAATAATTATTAATAATCTCTTCTAGTTGCAATACTGTTGTTTATGCGTGTGTGTTTACATTTGCTTTTTGTTTTCTGAGACAGAGTCTCACTGTCACCCAGGCTGAAGTGCAGTGGCATGATCTCGGCTCACTGCAACCTCTGCCTCCCAGGTTCAAGTGATTCTTGTGCCTCAGCCTCCCAAGTAGCTGGGACTATAGGCACATGCCATCATACCCAGCTAATTTTTGAATTTTTAGTAGCGATGGGGTTTCACTATATTAGGCAGGCTGGTCTCAAACTCCTGCTTCAAGTGATCTGCCCACCTGGGTCTCCCAAAGTACTGGATTACAGGCATGAGCCACTGCACCTGGCCTGTTGTTTATGTCTTTTAAAGGCCAACATATTTGAGGGTTATCATGAACCACTTTTCTTTTCTTTTTTTTTTGTTTGAGACAGAGTCTCACTCTGTCGCCAGGCTACAGTGGCATGATCTCGGCTCACTGCAACTTCTGCCTCCCAGGTTCAGCTGATTCTCCAGCCTCAGCCTCCCAAGTAGCTGGGACTATAGGCACGTGCCACCATGCCCAGCTAATTTTTGTATTTTTAGTAGAGACGGGGTTTCACCATGTTGACCAGGATGGTCTCGATCTCTTGACCTCGTGATCCACCTGCCCTGGCCTCCCAAAGTGCTGGGATTACAGGCATGGGCCACCGTGCCCAGCTATGAGGCACTTTTCAAAAGTGCCGCACTTTTAAAAAGTATTGAATTTTCCATTAGACTGTAATCAATTAAATATTATTATTTAATGTGTGTCATTTGATTTTTATGTGTTAGGGCCTTTTTTGAGAATACATTAAGAAGGTCAATTTTAAAGCTAGCATTGACATTCAAAAAGCAATGCATAACTTATCACGGTTTTTTATTTTCTGAATTTAAAAAATAACAACGGGGGTCTGTAACACTTGGGGGTTGGGCCAGCATGCTCCTCCCAAGGGAGGGGGAGAGTGGGGTCCCCCTGCTCATCATGTTTTATCAGAACTCTTGTGTTTGTCAATGGGATCTTTGAACTTGACCAGTGCAGGCTGCTGGATGGAGTAACCAAAGATAGCTCAAGTTTTGGAATGAATGACTTTGACGCTGTACTAGTTCTTTGACTCATTCTCATAGAAATAATGGCACCCACAATAAGAAAGGTCTATACTAGGCCCTGTGAAAAACACAAAAGGGGGTGCAGACTCAGTTGGCCCCTTCAGGGAGCTGTACACTTAAGAAACAATAGTAGAATGGTACATAACTCAATCTGTATGATAAAGACTGGGTGTGCTGTTATGCACTATTGGGGGCTAGTTAACAGAAGGTGCAGAATGCAAAAATTTCATTAAGGAGGTAGAAATTGAATTGGGCATGAAGCAGTTTAGATAAAGGAAGAAGAGCTCTGAAAACAGAATCTAGTCCAAATGGAGGGAAAAAGACCAGCAATAACACAAAGTAGAAATTAGAAAAATGGGCCAGGCACAGTGGCTCAAGCCTGTAATCCTAGCACTTTGGTAGGTTGAGGTGGGCAGATCACCTGAGGTCAAGAGTTTGAGACCAGCCTGACCAACACGGAGAAACCCCGTCTCTACTAATAATACAAAATTAGCCAGGTGTGGTAGCACATGCCTGTAATCCCAGCTACTTGGGAGGCTGAGGCAGGAGAATCGCTTGAACCCAGGAGGCAGAGGTTGTGGTGAGCTGAGATTGCGAGAGTGCACTCCAGCCTGGGTAACAAGAGCAAAACTCCGTCTCAAAAAAAAAAAAAAAAGAAAAAGAAAAAAATTGGAAAAACAACAACAAATAATGTCGGGCAGCGTGGCTCATGTTTATAATCCCAGCATCTTGTGAGGCTGAGGTGGACAGGCTGCTTGAGCCCAGGAGTCTGAGACCAGCCTGGGCAACATAGCAAGTCCCAGCCTCTATGAAAAATAAAAAAAATTGGGGGATTGCTTGAGCTCAGGAGGTTGAGGCTGCAGTGAGCCATGATCATGCCACTGTGCTACAGCCTGGGTGACAGAATGAGACCCTGGCTCAAGAAAAAAAAAAAAGGAAAGGAAGAAAGGAAGGAAAGAAAGAACCAACTAACTAACTAACTAACTAACTAACTAAATTAGAGTTGTGTTCCAAGAGCCAAAAGGGATGACCCAGTTTATTTGGAATGAAGTCTGCTGGTCAAGCTACTCATGGAAAAAAGCTCAGGTATTACACGTTAGGGCTATTATATCTTCAGAGCTCAAGAGCCAAGGAAATAAGAGTGACGTTGTTGAAAAATATGGTTGAGCATTTCCTATGTGACAAAGAGGCCTGATAATTATCACATATAACACTTATTTAGTGATTTATAGTTTACAAAGAAACTTTATATATATTATCTAATTTAATTCCCATTACACTTGAGATGTGATATTTATTTTACAGATAAGGATGTTGAGCCAGAGGTGTTAACTGGCTCTGACTACAGGCACACAGTGTGTCTTCTGCTCTACCTACAATTTTTCACAACGAGAGCAATATTTCAGAATGCATATTTCAGGATTCTATACATTGCATTATAGAAGGAGAAAGAAAGGGTAAGGAGACCACTGCGGAAATCTAGGCATGAGCAAAGGAGATTCTGGACAATTAGTGGCAGTGAGAACAGAAAGGAAGGAGAACATAGAAAACTGTCAAAGGCATAATCAACAGAGATTGATGACTAACTGGATTTAGGGGGCCGAGGCAAAGAGAATCAAAGCCCAAGGCATGAGTGGAAGAATGCTGGTGCCATTTGCAGAAGCAGAGAGAAAGCTCCTTGATAATTCAGACTGGCTAATGCATTTGAGTTGGAGTGGAAACTGTTCATGTTGTAGCTCCTGCATCTACAACTCAGCGGGTGCTCATAATTGGCTGTTATGAGTTGTTATGAGTAAATGAACAAATAATAGTTGAAGTAAGGGGAACGGGTCATCCTTTAAGAGTAAAGTATTTGCTAAGAACACAAAGCCAAGGGTCAGGCCTGGGTGAATGCCCTCAGTCGGGAGAGGCCAAAAAAGCCGGGCGCAGAGTAGGGAGGGCATGGCAGGGAATAGGGTTAGTAATAGGAGAATTTGAGACAAAGGCCTGGGTAGGAATTCTAAAAGTTTATGGTTATTAGACCATGAAAGATGCTTTCTGTTTCAGAAAAGGTATATAGTTTTAGGCATTTCTTCATTGAAGCAAAACATTGACTACCAGGTCCCTTTTGCTTTGGATAAAGAGGTTCCTCCCCCGTTCATTCACTCTTGCATTGTTTCTCACAGGGTCATCCCACAGAACCTCTGACTTAGAATCACTTGGGACATTGCTAAGTCTATAGATTCCTGGGCCCCATTCCAGATTTCCTGAATCATACTTTGGGGGTACAACCTAGGAATGTAAATCTTTACAAGCTCCTCAGTAGTTTTCATGCACACTAAACTTTTAGAATCAGTGCTATATAACAAAAGATCAAATGACGGAGAAGAAGAGAATATGGTTAAAAATGACCAGATAATGTAAATTAAAATCCTTAATACATTCCTGGGAACACGCTCAGTGTTTGTGGAAGTGTGAAAGGGAAAGCAACACTGACCAGAAATAAATTCTGGAAAGCACCCTGAAAAAACTGTTTTGAACAAACAGGTTAATTTATCTCTGGTTTGCATCCAAACCCAATGACACCAAGTTGGATGGTAACCAGAAAGCGTTATGGAATCTCTTTATGGTGAGTGATAGTTTAGGGAGGTGAACATTGCTGGTTTGACATTCAGCCTTAAAACAAACATCAGATTTTTTCAATTCACATGTTTTCTCTTACCGAACATTTTCCTAATGAAATAGTGGAAAAGACAACCTTTTTCTCCATTTCTATTTGGATTTTTAGATCACGTACATAACCTGTTCCAACAAAATGAAATTAAAAAGTTAGGTTGGCTAGCGTGAACATCAATATGTCTCACCAATTAACATCATGGATTAAAATGAGAAAAAATTATCCAAGCTAACAATGTATCAATAGTCACTTATTTGGTCTTGCATGGATTTTGTCTTTGAAAGACAAGCCTTCAAGCCCAGTTCTGTCTCCTAAAGCAGATTTTATAAGATGAGAGAAGAGGAAAAAAAATACATATAGTTCAGCTTCGAAGACTTAGAATCCCATCACTTTTATCTTTCCAGAAAAAATATTTAGGGAAGCTAGGCCAGGCATGGTGGCTCATACCTGTAATCCTAGCACTTTGGGAGGGCGAGGTGGGTCGATTACTTGAGGTCAGGAATTCTAAACCAGCGTGGCCTAGATGGTGAAACCCCATCTCTACTAAAAATACAAAAATTAGCCAGGCGTGGTGGCACATGCCTGTAATCCCAGCTACTTAGGAGGCTGAGACAGGAGAATTGCTTGAACCCGGCAGGCAGAGGCTGCAGTGAGCCGAGATCACACCACTGCACTCCAGCCTGGGCAACAGAACAAGACTCTGTCTCCAAAAAAAAAAAAAAAAAAAGAAAAAAGAAAATTCAGGAAAGGTGACTTGCAACCTTTGCAACCTTTCTTGCTAATATGTTGCTTTCTTCAGACTTCTAATCATAATGATTCTTAATAATAAATACTGTCGTTTAAGTACTTTGGCCCTACTTTAAGGCCAGTTCCTGATGCAATCTCTATAAAAATATACGATAGTTATATCCAAAAATTCCAGTGGTGTTCAGTATATATTTACAGACAAAGGCTTTTTTGTTCCTTTTTTTCCAAATTGAAATGACCCACTTCCCTTAGCATTTCCTCAAAGACTTGGTTTCTCAGCCAATTAATTTTTTTAT
Organism: Homo sapiens; assembly: GCF_000001405.40. Classification (NCBI taxonomy): domain Eukaryota; kingdom Metazoa; phylum Chordata; class Mammalia; order Primates; family Hominidae; genus Homo; species Homo sapiens. The sequence goes on along the minus strand of NC_000021.9, from coordinate 10,597,096 downwards.
TGCTTTCCTCTCAACTCTACATTGATTTTAATTTAAATGTTCACAAAACTAAAGGTAGAGAATTAAAACAAATATTTTAATAAACTAGTGTATTATCTTTGTTCATCTCATATGCTGTTTGTTTTCATTTAATTTTGTTTTCACTAACACCATATTTATTTGTCATTAGAAATCACAGTTTCTTGCCTCAGTTCCCTCTTTCCCATTCCAAGTGCAGAACTTCTTTCTATTGATGTCTACCAGAAATCAGTGAAATGTAGAACTAAACTCAGAAGGCTAAAAATACTAGGCTGTCTGTGTGGACACCAGCATCCTGGCCCCATGGCACCTATAGCACCCAGCACTGGCACCATCTCAGGTCCACAAGCTGGCTGCTAGAAGAGGTTTGCTTTAGGGGTTCTGAAGCATCGCCTCCCTGCTACATCTCCGGCAGTGGGAGTGGTGAGGCCCCATCCCTTCCACACAGACACATCCTGCTTTCCCACCTCCCCTGAGTGTAAGCTGGGAGTGAGAGGGTTACAGATGGAGGAGAGAGGGGAAAGGGAGAGCCCAGGGTGATGAGAAAAAAAATGCCTCTAAAAGAAGGTGAGAAAATGATACGATACGGAGACACCTCCACCAAGGCAAACTCTGAACTAGAGGTGGTTCTGAGAAATAAGCAGGCTTGAGGGCACATGGGTCCTCCTCCTCCCTCATCAGAGGCTCCCTCTGCCCGGAAAAGTCCGCCTGGGTTGAGACCAGAGGAGCAATGAGAACAGGAGAGATGGGAAAGGGATGAAGTCCCCCAAATTGGTGATGGAAAAGAAAAAGTGAAGAACATCTAAGGGCTGGCAATCAATGGGCAATTGCAGGAGGAGCGGCATAAATAAGGAGGAGTTCCTGTGTGAGGATATGTAAAAAGACAAGTATGAGTTAGGATCATCTGTATATACAACTATGAGCAAAACCCTCCCAGAGTGGGGACATTGGCCCTCCTGCCCAATTCTTCAATTATACATAAAGCACTTACGAGGAATCGAATAAATAATGAAGTGTTTTATAAAGAGTATCCGTCTTGGAGGGAGATTCCAGTTGTAGAGATGTTTCACTTGTGCAAAATATGCAACATATCTCTTCTGAAAAGCAACAGAAATCTTCCTTTAAGTGGAGATGAAAAGTCTAAAGTCGGCATTCCTTTTTTTTTTTTTGCATAAAGCTTGTTAATGGAGGTAAGTAATTAAGGAAACATTTACTGGATGCCATAATATAACTAGATATTTTTAGGGATGCTGCCCCACAACTATCTACCTTGAGGGAAAAATACTGAATTCAGTGCAATGGGGAAGTAACAAGGATGGAGCCAGGCCCTGTTTATAGGCTGCTTATGGTTGACAGGGCAACTAATCAGAAGCACAACAAAACAGTTACAGTATCATCAGTGTCTGGATAGAAGCTTAGTTGTGACTGAGTTAGAGGAAGACTTGTGGTTTGGTGATGAGCAGCTTCCTGGGCATGAGAGAATGGTATAAGTGAAAACTCCAGAGGAATACCTCCAAACCTCAGTAGCAGGTTTCCCATCCCTCTTCTCTTGTTCCTGACAGCTACAATTTCTTCACTTTGCATTTCCTCAATTCTGTTTTCCCAAGGAAGCCCTGAAATTGTCTTAGCCTTGTCCTTTCCCTGGGGCAAGCTGTTCACAACAGCTCTCCCCTGAATCTTTCTTCAAGGTATTGAAGAGCTCTGGTACTCAAACAACTGGTTCAGAATTCAAAAGTTGGCCATCATGGTGGCTCCCGCCTGTAATCCCAGCACTTCGGGAGGCCGAGGCGGGCAGATCACCTGGTGTCAGGAGTTTGAGACCAGCCTCGCCAACAGGGTGAAACCCTGTCTCTACTAAAAGTACAAAAATAGGCCATGCGTGGTGATGGGCACCTATAATCCCAGCCACTTGGGAGGCTGAGGCAGGAGAATCACTTGAACCCAAGAGGTCGAGGTTGTGGTGAGCTGAGATTGCACCACTGCACTCTAGTCTGGGCGACAGAGCGAGACTCTGTCTCAAAAATTAAAAACAAAACAAAACAAAACAAAACTCATAAGTTCACAGACTGTTCCTTACCCATTGGGAAATGTTGATTAAAGTAACTAACGGCCATACTTCCCTTTAGAAAGGGCCAGTCATGAGACAGGTTCATGAAAGTCCTTAACTTAGGAGTAGATGCACTCAGTAGAATGGCCCACAATGCAGGATCAGAATGTGATGGTGTCTGAGAATCACCACCAGACACAGAGGGCACTCTGTCCTGAGGTCTTGCCAACACAGCTCTCAAACGTGCAGCTGAGTCCCTGTGTTGCTTTTTCGGTGAATCAGAAGAGATTCAGTTGCAGCCTTTGGTGTGCTAGTTCTGGACTACAGTTAGGGAAACTATGCACGACTGCAGAAGAAATGGGGATGGGGAGATGTGTGGGGAGAGTTGTTGAAGGAGCTCCGTCTAGCATCCCGTTAGCTTCTGCCACTAGATTCTCCACCTTTCCCTAAGGGCTGTAAACCACCAGGGCCCTCAAGCTGCTTGTGCTCCCACGCTTCCTTCTCCTACAACTTAAAACAACATGGACTTGTAGTAGAAATTAATACAACCAACACATAGGAGGCACTCACTACAAACAAAGAAAACATTATGAGAAAAGGGTGGAAAGATGGGTAAGCCACGGGCTTTGCCTTTAAAGGGGATACAGAAGTCACCACTTCAAATAACTAGAGAATGATGCAAAGTGACGTAGTCCCTAAAAGAAACACAAAGGGCTCTAAGAATTGAAAAAGCAAGAGACTACTTCAGGCTGAGAAGGGAAAGGGACTCTAGGAAAAGGGGCATGAGCAATGGCATGAGGGTATCAAGTGTCCATAGGCTGGGAAAGAGCACAGAGTCTAAATGTGTTGGAGTATGGGATGTGTGATGCACACAGCGGAAGAGAAGGTTGGAAAAGTCAAAGAGTGGCTCTTGAGTGCCAGGTTGAAACGTTTAGTTTATTGCCATTGGCAGTGGGGACATAGTATGGATTTTAAGCATGGAAATGGCATGATTAGGGCTGCACTTCAGTAAATTCACCTATCACTTTTAGCTTAGAGTCTATGACTATCTTTGTTTTGTTTTGTTTTGTTTTGTTTGGGGCTTGGGTGTGGGAGAAAAGTAGCAGTGGATAAAGCTGAGTTCTTCTGGCCCAAACTAAAGGCTTAGGGCCAGTAGTTAGAGAGTTCTTCTACTCAGCTCCCACCACTTAAAGAAAAACTCATTTACAGCCACATCCAAATCCATTTAGAAATTCCCAACCCGCTCTCACTTCGGTTTCAGGGGCAATATAGAAAAGGCAATATAAATGACAAGCTGTGCACAGCAAGGGCTTCAGAGACTGACATCTAGATTTCAGTCCTTGGTTCAAAGGTTACTTTCTCTAAACCTCAATTTTCTAATTTATGAGAATCATAGTAGTGCCTACTCACAGAGTTACTGAGAATATTAAATGAGATAGTGAATAGAGAACCCTCAGAATAGTTCACCAAAGTCTAGAATGTTGTAAATGCTATAGGATAAACATCCTGGTTTCTGCAATAAACAAATTACAAGTAATAAAAAATGGTGAGAAATCTATGAACTTAGATTCTTAAAAGAGACTTAGGAGACACAGCAACCAAATGAAATGTGTGGACTTTGTTTGAATTCTGATTAAACAAACTAAATTTTCAAAGATTTTAAGACAATTTTGGAAACAAACATGGACTACAAATTTGATATAAAGGATTTTTAAGGTATAATATTGTTAGATATGATAAAAAGTGTTAAGGTTTTTTCTTGTTGTTTTAAGAGTACTTAAATGTCATACTAAAATGCTGTGTGATAAAATGATCTGACGACTGAAATTTCCTTTACAATAACTCAGATTTAGGGAAAACAAGAGTGGAGAGTGGGGTTGGGGGGTGTGAGTGGAGTGGGAAAGAATGGATGAAATGTGACTGGCGCCAGCTGAAATACTGTTGCAGCAATGTGATGACTACATGAGGATATAGTGTATGATTCTCTGGACTTTTGTATATGATTAAAATTTTCCATAACAAAATGTTTCTAAAAGAAAAAACAGAGTAACAGTGTATATTTCATACAGGTGTTATGGGTATTAAATGAGATATGTAAAAGTGCAATACTGTCTGGGATACAGAAGGGGTTTTGAAAAGTTTATTTTCCCTTTTATTTTCTCTTTTAAAATACACCTCCCCCACAACACACAGAAAAGACACACACACACACACACACACACACACCAGGAGTCATCCAAAAACAGTCTTTGTGATGTTCTGCAAGGGTTGAATTGTCCTAGTAAGGGTTTGTGAAAGACTTGGATCTTTTTTACATTGAAATCAAAGGCTGGTGATTTTAGACACACTTCAGAGTCCTGGAGCCTTGGGTACTGGACCTTCCTACTTTGGGAAAATAATCAACTCCTGAGCTCTGTAAACAATAACCAGTATAGAATAGAAAGCAGGATTCTCTGAAGAGAAACCAGAGTCCCCAGCATGTGGGCAGCACCTGAAGCGTGACCCTCAGACTCAGGGAGGGACTAAGGCCTGTTGCAGGGCACCCAACTGCTGCTGCCTGATCACCAAAGGAGAGGAGTCTAAAATGAAACCAAATAACAGGTGGCAATCTGAACCCACACCCCTAAAAAAACTCCCATTTTTAAAAAGAAAACTTACCTGAGAAGGAGTTTTTACTCCCTGAAATTTTTCGCTGTGGGTTTTATCTGTTCGCCTTTCTCCAAAATAATACAGGCTTTCCTACAAAAAAGGGTACAATCCAACCATGGTTCATCTGCACTCTTTCCTTTCCTATATTAGGTACCCTTAGTGTTTCTACGCCCACCTTCTTTCCTAAAGTCAGTGATTTTGTTTGTTTGTTTGTTTTTTTGGTAGAGTCTTGCTCTGTAACCCAGACTGGAGTACAGTGGCAGGATCTAAGCTCACTGCCACCTCTGCCTCCTGGGTTCAAGTGATTCTACTGCCTCAGCCTTCTGAGTAGCTGGGACTACAGGTGTGTACCACCATGCCCAGCTAATTTTTTGTATTTTTAGTAGCTATAGGGGTTTCACCATGTTGGCCAGGCTGCTCTCAAACTCTTGACCTCAAGAGATCCGCCTGCCTCAGCCTCCCAAAGTGCTGGGATTACAGGCGTGAGCCACCCGTGCCCGGCCGCAGTGATCTTTGGGCAGAGGCTACCGAAAATAACAAAATTAGGACTTCTCTCATTCAAGGATTCATACATTCATAAAATTTTAGAGCTAGAAACACCTTAGAAAGCATCTGGTCCAACCCTTCTTTCCATATTACAAATGACAACACTGAGACCAAAACAAAACCAAGCAACCTGCCAAGGAGATGCTGCAGCCAGTTAGAAGAAGCACAGGCCTCGCATACATGTCCCTGGGTCTCAGTCTAGGGCTCTGGATCAATGGCTGTCAATGACTTTCAAACCTTTTGTTTTTTAAGTTGCAATCCACATTAATAAACCTAGGAGACACACACACACACCAATATTTAAACCTTTGGATATTTTCTATTCTGCTCTATTCATTTTATTTTCAAACGATGTCAGTTACAATCCAGTAACTTTATTTTAAAACTCACTGATAAATCATGATCCATAGCTTGAAAAACACCATCCTAGAACACCCATTTTCAAAATCTGTGTATCTCAAATTAGAGAAACCAAAGGTGGTGGAATTGGAGTCTGGGCATTGTGCACAACCACCACCTCTTCCCTAGACTGAGGCCAAACAACTCGAGCAGAGCTGCTGGAAATGGTAGCATCTCAGCAAGAAAACGGCAGAAAGAAAAATGACTGAGAACTCTGCTTTAAGTGGAAACAGCCCACCTTGTCTTATCAGAAATTTTTAGAGGTCACAGACTCCACATGTATTGACTAAGCAAAGATATTTACATTCAGGAGAGGCTTTGTTTTGAGTTGTGAAATGTTGCTTTTTATCTACCTAAGAGTTGTGAGGATGGGCAAGGCTCTTTGGAGAATTTATCTAATTAAGCTTGATACTATTCTCACGAGGAAGGAAGAAGTCATGGTACTGGCAGGAGGAAGAGCAGGGCCAGGTGAAGTGAGGGAAGCATCTTGATTACTGAATGTTTTTTTCTGTGTAACATGGCTTTACTCCCCTCACCTTAATCCTGCCCCATCAGGTCTTGTCTTTATTTAACATGTTGATATTGTATACATCATCGATTTTTTGCATTAATTTTTATTAAAATATTGCGTTAAAATTATTTATTTTAATTATTACAATTTTTAGCATTCCCTTAAATTTTGCACCTCATTGACCTCACTCTAGTCCTGGCCCAAAGAGATTCTGAAGTCAGCTACTAACTAGTGCACATTAAACAAGAAAGTATCAAAAACAGACTTTCTAAAGACTGCTTCTCTAATTACAATTTTACTAAGCACCATGACTAAAATAATCATCTTAATGTCCTGCCAGTGATGTTTCAGAACTAGCAAACTCAATCATCCTAAGACAAAGTTTGTAGAACATCTTTCATACCTTTGCAGTTGAACATATTTCAGAGGCAATAAGGAAGGCACAAACCATAGTTCCTGTTCTATCTAGAAAAGAAAAGAAGTTAGTTCAAGAACATACGTGGTATAAAAATACACTCAGAAATATTCAAGGAGTGCATTTTAACTTGATTTTCTTTCTTTTTTTTGAGACAGGGTCTTGCTGTGTCACGCAGGCTGGAGTGCAGTGGCACAATCTTGGCTCATTGCGACCTCCATCTCACAGGTGAAAAATAGGCAAATTACATTTACAGTAAAAATATCTCTCACCATCTCTCCACAAAAGGACACGATGAGGTTTTTACTAAAATCTATAAGAAAGCAACAATTCATGTATTTTATGATTTTTTTGGATAATAGTAAAAAAGAAAAATTCCCAACTCATTTAGTACGTTAATATAACTGATTCCAAAATTGCACAAATGCAGTAGAAGATATTTTTACACCAGTCTCACATATAAATGTAGATTTAAAAATATACATATATTTTCAAAGTGAATTCAGCAATGTAGAAACACCATGTATCAACACCAAGTGCCATTTCTCTTAAGGATGCAAGGATGTTTTTTCCAAGATGGCAGATTACAGGCTTTTAGCATGCCTGCCTCAGTCATTTGGAAATAGCAAGCAAGTACATAAAGACCAACTCTGTGAGCTTTAATTCAAGAAAGAAAATGGCAATTCCCCGGAATTTTGAAGGACATCCCAGATCCTGGGGAGGACAATGCAGGCAAGCAGCCCTCAGGACAGCATTCGACTGATAAAAGTGAGTGAAGCCTCAGTATGTGAGACAGGCAGACAGCATCCCTCTGTCTCACCTTTCCACTGGACATCCATGCAACCCGGGCAGAGGAAGAGATTGTTTCTCCCAAGCCTTGGAGCTCATTTGAGAAGAGACTTGGAGACTTTGTGGGGGAAAGACACAGGGAAACGCTGCCGGCATTTTCCCAAACCTGGACTGGGAGCAGGACAACACTGGGGGAATCTTCCCTATCTGGCTGCACCCATCTTGTGCCCCCAATCCCCCTACCCCTAGGGCTGAGGGAGCTCAGATTAATGTGTACTCAGGATTTCAGCCCATTGCCTGGGGCAACAGAGAGCTCCTCCCAATAAACAAGGATGAAGTACACAGCCAGCAGCACTGGCAACAGCCAGCTCTTACCCATGGCGCCATCTACTGGCTCATAGGTCAAACCACACACCCAATATAAAACCTGCTGGCAGAAGTGCATAGGGCTGCAGAAGCAAAGCCAAAAGACCCTACCCAGCATGCTCTACAGTCACACCCTCTAGGGAGAAGGGAAAGGGAAAGAAGAAAAAAATAACAATAATATTATAGGAAAGGAAAGAAAAAGAAAAATCCTACCCAAACAAAAATAATTACACAAATTAGAAGTGCAGATGAGAAGGACCCACGCAAGAATTCTGGAACCATGAGAAATCTGAATGTAGTGACACTGCCAAAGGATCACAATAGCTCTCTGGCAATGCTTCCTACCAAAATGAAAACTCAGAGATGACAATAAACAATTCAAAGCTTGGGTTGCAAGGAAGCTCAATGAGATTCAAGGTTGAAATCAACAAAAAGAAACTTCTACATCAATCCGGGAAATGAAGGAAGAGATAAACATCTTAATAAGAAATCAATCAGAACTTCTAGAATAAAAAAAACTCACTAAGGAATTTCAAAATACAACTGAAAGCTTTATCAACAGACTGGACAAAGTAGAAAACATAATTTCAGAGCTTGAAGACTGGTCTTTTGAACTAATCCAGTCAGACAAAAATAAAGAAAAAAATATTTTTTAAAAGTGAAGAAAGTCAGAAATATGAGATTATGTAAAGTGACCAAACCTATGAATTACTGGCATGCCCTAGAGAGAAAGAGAAAAAGAAAACAGCCTGGAAAACATATTTGATGGAATAATTCGAGAAAATTTCTTGAATCTTGCTAGATAGACATCTAAGTACAATAAAGCCAGACGGCACCTGTGAGATACTATAAAAAATGAACATTACCAAGGCATATACTCACCAGACTATCCAAGGTCACTGTCAAAGAAAAAGCCCTAAAGGCACTGGAGAAAAAGGCCAGATCACACACAAAGGTAGCCCCATCAGGATAACAGCCAAATCCAACAGCACATCAAAAAGTTCATGATCAAGTAAGCTTCATTCCAAGGATACAAGGTTCAGCATATGCAAACCAAATGTGGTGCAGAATTAAACAGAAACCACATGATCATCTCAATAGATGCAGAAAAAAAAGCTTTTGATAAAATTCAACATCTTTCTTGATAAAAAAAAAAAAACACTCAAGAAACTAGGAATCAAAAGAACATACTTCAAAATAGAGCCATGGGCCAGGTGCAGTGGCTCACATCTGTAATCCCAGCACTTTGGGAGGCCAAGGCAGGCAGATCACTTGAGGTCAGGAGTTCAAGACCAGCCTGGCCAACATAGTGAAACTCTGTCTTTACTAAAAATACAAAAATTAGCCGGGCATGGTGGTGCACACCTGTAATCCCAGTGACTCAGAAGGCTGAGGCAGGAGAATCGCTTGAACCCAGGAGGCGGAGGTTGCAGTGACCGAGATTGCACCACTGCATTCCAGCCTGGGTGACAGAGCAAGACTCCATCTCAAAAACAAACAAAAAATAGGCTGGGCGCGGTGGCTCATGCCTATAATCCCAGCACTTTGGGAGGCTGAGGTGGGTGGATCACCTGAGGTCAGGAGTTCGAGAGCAGCCTGGCCAACTTGGTGAAACCCTATCTCTACTAAAAATACAAAAATTAGCTGGGTGTGGTGGCAGGCGCTTGTAATCCCAGCTACTTGGGAGGCTGAGCCAGGAGAATCACTTGAACCTGGGAGGTGGAGGTTGCAGTGAGCCAAGACTGCGCCATTGCACTCCAGCATGGGCAACAAGAGCGAAACTCCCTCTCAAAAAAAAAAAAAAAAGAAATCATTTCCTTTGCAGCATCATGGATGCAGCTGGAAGTCATTATCCTGAGCAAATTAATGCAGGAACAAAAAACCAAATACCATATGTTCTCACTCATAAGTGAAAGCTAAACAATGGGTGCTCATGGACATCAAGGTGGCAATAATGGACCCTGGGGAGTTCTAGAAGGGGCACAGCAGAAAAGGACACAGGTTGAAAAACTAACTATTGGGTCTTGTGCTCAGTACCTGGGTGATGCGATCAATCATACCCCAAACCTCAGCATCACACAATATTACCAATAAACCTGTATATGCACTTCCAAATCTAAAAGCTAATTTATACCAAAAATCTAAGCTCAAAAAGAAAAAGAAAGTCTTTTGCCTATTAAAAAACAAATAATAACAAATGCAAGAATCATCCTACATCAGAAATCTATATTAATGCAATTTATCATATTCATTGATTAAAGAAGACACACCTTACAATTATCTCAATTAATGCAGGAAAAAGCATTCACTAAAATTCAGCCTGCACCTGTGACTTTAAAAATTAACAACTAGGAAACTTCCTTAACTCAACAAAGAGAATCTACCAAAATACCTACCAGGAACATCATATTAATGATATAATATTGAAAGCATTTTCTTTAAAGCCTGGAATTAAACAAAAATGCCCTCTCTTCACTGCTTCCATTTAACAGTATACTACAGAGCCTAACCAGTGTAGAAAGTCAGTGTAGTAAGTAAATCTTTAGAATAACTCCTTAATCTAATGAGAGATTTTAGGAAGATTTCTAGATGCAGGCTCAACATAAACAAAAATTAATAGCTAAATCAAGGATGCAGGTTGAAATCTTTACAGTAATTACTAAAAACATAGAAAAACAGTATATGACTTCCAAGGTAATGACAGACGGTGAGAAGGAAAGAATTATATTATTAAAATTCAATCAAATGAAAACAGAATGTCAGTAGGAAAACAGAAGAGTTAAATAGATGTACATAGAACACTGTTCTCAACAATGCATAATACATGTTCTTTTCAAATGTACAGAAAACATTTGACAATATCGACCAAATTCTGGGCCATTAAGCAAGTCTAAACAAATTTCAAAGAACTAAAAAAGAAAAAAATACATAGTATGTTCTGTGTCCACCACACAATATAATCAGAAATCAAAAATTTAAAGATAAATACAAAATTCTCATATGTTTGGAAATAAGGAAGTATATTTCTACATAACTCATGGGTCAAAAAAAAAAACAAGCACAAAGTTGGAACATAGTTTGAACTGAGTAAAATAAAAACACTAAAAATAAAAATTTATGGGACGAAACTAAAGCAATTCTTAGAGGAAAACTTGTAGCCTTAAATGGTAAATAGAAAAGATAGTGGTTGACACTCTAAGAATTATCCATGTCAAGAAGTCAGGAAAAGAACAAATTAACCCAAGGAGTACAGAAGAAAGTACTAAATATAATAGTAATTGATGAAATAAAAAATAAGTAAAAAATAGAGACCACAAATAGGCCAAAAACTTGGTTCTTTTAAAAGACTAGTAAAATTGATAAATCCGTGGTAAGACTACTCAGAAGAAAAAAGGGGAGAAGGCACCAAGAAAGCAATGTCAGGAATAAAAAAGGGAACATCTCTGCAGACACTAAAATGGTAAAATGATATTGTGAACAATTTGATGTCAAGACAATTTGCAAAGTTAGATTAAATGGACAAATGCTGGGAAAACTATAATCTACCAAAATGGGCAAAAGAAATAAAATTATAAAAACATTCTATATAGGGAATTGAGCCATAATTTAAAGACTTCTCTCCAGAGAAAACTCTAGGCCAATGTGCGTTCACTGGTGAATTTCACTTTACACTTAAGAAGGAAAAAAATCAGCATGCATAAATTTACCCAGAGAATAAAAACAGAGAAAATGAAATTTAACTCATTTTACGAAGCCAAGATTTGAAAAAACTATGAGAAAGGAAAATTATAACCAATTGCCCAGAAGACATGAATTTGAAAATCCTAAACAAAATATTAACGGACAGAATCCGGCAATTTAATAATAAAATAATTTAATAAGTATTTAACAAAATAATACAGCACAACTAAATTACATTTATTCCAGAAACATGTTGGTTTACCACTTAATCAATGCAATTAACCACATTTATTTATAGGATAAAGTAGAAAAATTATCATCTCAAAGATTCAGAAAAATCTTTAAGAATTCAACATCCATTCATGATTTAAAAAAAAAAACTCTTAGCAAGCTAAACGAATTTCTTTTTTCTTTCTTTCTTTTTTTTTTTTTTTGTTTCATTTTTTGAGACAGAGTCTTACTCTGTCATCCAGGTTGGAGAGCAGTGGTGCGATCTTGGCTCACTGGAACCTCTGCCTCCTGGTTTCAAGTGATTCTCGTGCCTCAGCCGGAGTAGCTGGCATTACAGGCATGTGCCACCGCACCTCGCAAATTTTTGTATTTTTTAGTAGAGACAGGGTTTCACCATGTTGCCTAGGCTGGTCTTAAACTCCTGGCCTCAAGTGATCTGCCCCCACTGGGCCTCCCAAAGTGCTGGGATTACAGGTGTAAGCCAAGGCGCCCAGCCAAGGAATTTCTTAATCGATAAATGGTCACTAATACACACACACACACACACACACACACACACACACACTCGTAAAGCATTTGGAGAGATGTTGAAAGCTTTTCCTTTGATAATGGAACTGTATGTTGATGGCTGCTATGGCCACTTCTAATTCTACACTGTACTGAATGTTCTAGCCAGTGCTAGGGGAGATGAATGACTGAAATGGAAAAAATATAATTTATTATTTTCATATGATGTAATCGTGTACCATAAAATCCAAAAGAATCTATAGATAAATTAGTAGAACTAATAAGTGAGTTTAGGCTGGGCACGGTGGCTCAGACCTGCAGTCCTAGCACTTTGGGAGGTGGAGGCTGAGGCTGGCGGATCACTTGAGCACAGAAGTTTGAGACCAACCTGGGCAACATAGCGAAACCCCATCTCTACAAAAAAATGAAAAAATTAGCTAGGCATGGTGGCACCTGCCTGCAGTGCTAGCTACTCAAGAGGCTGATATAGGAGGATCACCTGAGCCCAGGGAGGTTGAGGCTGTAGTGAGCCATGATCATGCCACTGCATTCCAGCCTGGGTGACAGAATGAGACTGCCTCAAAAAAAAAAAAAAAAAAAGTGAGTTTAGGAAAGTTGCTAACTGCAAGATTAATAAATAAAATGAACTGCATTTAAAACAACAAAAAACATTTAGAAAATAAACATTTTAAAGGGATATCATTTAAATAACCACAAAAAAAATCTAAGAATAAATCTCACCAAAAATATGCACGCTTTCTATACAGAAAATGAGAAAGCATTATAAAGAGAAATTGAAGAGGACCTAACTAAATGAGAGAATACCTCTGTTCATGGGTTGGATGAGTCAATATTGTAAAGATTCAATTCTCCCCAGTCTATAAATTCAATGCAATTCCAAACAAATTTCTACCCAGTGTTTGTAATTTGACTAGTTGATTCCCAAATTTATATGGAAATATAGATGACCTAAAATACCCAAACAATTGTGAAGAAAAAGAAGAAGATGATGAGGACATATTAGAAAGCTACAGTAAGATAGTTGTGCTATTGGCACACAGATGAAAAATCAATGAACAGAAGAGAAATGTCAGAAACAGATTCATGTTCCTCAGGGTAGTAAAGAAATGAAAATCTTCTGAACCAGTGTGCTGGAATAACTGGATAGCCATACATGAAAAAAGATGAAACCTGACGCCTTCCTCACACCACACACATAGATCAATTTTAAAAGGAATGAACCTTCTCGAAGAAAATACAGTAGTAAAATGTCCTTTAAACTCAAGGAAAATTTTCTTAATCAGGACACAAAAACACAAACTTTATAAAGGGAAAGCATGATACATATGACGGTAATACAACTAAGAACTTCTGTTAACCAAAAGCTACTCCTGAGAGACAGAAAAGGCAAATCACAGAGCAGAAAAGCTTTCTTGAAATACATTTATGACCAATAACAGAATTGAAATCAGAATACACAAAGAACTACAATCGGGAGAAAAAAAGATGAATAATCCAGGAGAAAAATGGTTAAGAAAATTAAAAAGTTACTTTACAAAAAAGGATATCCACATACTTAATAATCTTAAAAAAAACTTCCTCAATCTTATTAATTACAGAAATGCAAATGATCACCACCATAAGATGCCATCACACAAACACCCAAAGGCTAAAGATAAAAATACTCAGAATTGCAAGTATTGGGGAAGATATGGAATGCTTGAAGTCTACAATACCAGTGGAGTAAAAATTGTTACAACTGTTTTAGAAAACAGGTGACATTATCAAGTAAAGTTCAAGATTCATTACCCTAAGACAGAACAATTTTATTCTGAGGTATACATTCAACAAAAATGTGGCCACATGTGCAACAAGAAACGTGTATTTTTAAAAGCAGTATTATTGGGCTAGGCACGGTGGCTCATGCCTGTAATCCCAGCAATTTGGGAGGCAGAGGCAGGCACATCACTTGAGGTCAGGAATTTGAGACCAGCCTGGACAACATGGCAAAACCCCATCTCTACTAAAAATACAAAATTAGCTGGGTGTGGTGGTGGATGCCTGTAATCCCAGCTACTCTGGAGGCACAGGCATGAGAATTGCTTGAACCCAGGAGGCGGAGGTTGCAATGAACTGAGATCATGTCACTGCACTCCAGCCTGGGTGACAGAGTGAGACCTAATCTCAAAACAAAAAAACAAAAAACATAATTCATCACAATAAAAATTGGAAACAACCCAAATGTAATAGAAAAAAAGAGATTCCATTTTCAGTCACAATTTGTGCAGGAATGAATATTTGAAAAGATGTGCAAAGACATGATAAAAAAGTATAAAATATTATTAAAGAATGAACAAGATGAGTCACATGTACAACTCAATATCGCAAAGTTGTCACTTCTCTCAAGTTAATCTATAAATTCAATGTAGTTCCAATAAAAATCCTAAAAGTGTTTTATTATGGCACTTCACAAAATGATTTTAAAATTGAATGTAATAATAAAGTTCCAAGAAGAGCAAGACAATTATGCCTTTATCAAACCACATTATAAAGCTACAATAATTACAAAAGTGTGGTAGAGAGAACTTAGGAACAGTTTTGAAAATTTATAGAAACTTGGTATATTACTGAGAGGGATTACAAATTAATGGAGAACAAAACAGCACGCAATTGATGGTGTTAGGACAATTGGCTATCTATATGAAAAAAACACTTCCCCCAACTTCCAATTAGATTAAAGACCCAAATATTGAAAATGGAACTTGAATATTTTTGAAGAAATGTGGAATATCTTTACTACATCAGTATAGGGGGGTGAATTTCATAAACATGACAGAAAAGCGTGAAATATATACACACACATAGAAAAACAAATTTCACTATATTCAAAATTACAAACTTCTCTCCAGGCATGATGGCTCATGCCTGTAATCCCAGCACTTTGGGAAGCTGAGGTGGGTGGATCACTTGAGTCCAGGGGTTCGAGACCAGTTTGGACAACACAGTGAGACCCTGTCTCTATAAAAAATACAAAAATTAGCCAGGCATGGTGACGCTCACCTGTAGTCCCACTTACTCAGAGGGGCTGAGATGGGAGGATCGCTTGAACCCCGGGAGGTTCAGGCTGCAATGAGCCGAGATTGTGCCACTGCACTCCAGCCTGAGTGACACAGCGAGATCATGTCTCAAAACAAAACAAAAATTTACAAACTTTTGTACAACAAAATAAATCACGATCAAATTTAAAAGGCAACATGTGGGGAGAATATAATTACAATACTAAGAAAAATTGGCATCCAGATTCTTTAAAGAACTTCTATAAATCAATATAAAATATTTTTACTATCACGATACTACTGGTAACCTGCAAGCAGCAACCAACCAGAAGACAGCAAGACTAATATGAATGAACACATAAAAAAGAGGCTGCTCTCGTACATACCAGCTGAATATTAGCCCTCTAAACAACCTTTAACAAAATCAACAAAATATTATGTGAACACAGAATAATGTAAACCCTCTCTCAGCACAAAAGAAAAAAAGTCAGATTTGAAATGATTGTTTTCCTTCAAGCAAGGAATTAGCATTAGTTAATAGAAAACTGATGCTAACTTCTTTAATAATAACATTTTAGGTTGGACAATGTGAAATGGCCATTTTTAAAGCAAAAGATGGTTAAAAACTGGCAATTTCAAATGATTCAACCTCTATATTCTTAAGTATGGTACTGTAAATTTCCAGTATATATACAATATTCCAACCTGTAGAGCTAAACACAGAACCTGTATATTAACTAATATACAGCTAAACACAGAACCTGTATTTTAACTAATGGGCTTGAAACTAGTCAATAAGACAAAAACTTGATTTTACTGAATTATATAAGTCAGTTGATGGTGCTATGTTTTCCTGGAATTTGATATAAAAATTGATTTAGAGCCCACTAAAAATGTAATTATTTATGTTTGTCAAAATTTGTGAAATATGCTTAGATGATTATTTAAAGCCCAAACCTGAATGAGAGAAAATCTAACTAAACTTAAATTGGTTGGATTTACAAATGGCTTTTTTCCCCCATTTTCACCCCACCAATGTCAACTTCTTCGTATCATTACACTATAAAAATTCCAGTATAATTTTTGATATAGCATCTCTGTTGGCTCCCTTAATCTAAAAGGTTCTCACAAAGTTTAAGAACAACCTTAAATATTACTGGAACAAAAACAGACATATAGACCAATGGAACAGAATACAAAGCCCAGAAAAAATCCATGCATTTATACTCAGCTGATATTCAACAAAGGTGCCAAGAATCCAAGATGAGGAAAGGACAGTCTCTTCAATAAACGATACTGGGGAAACTGAATATCCACTTGCAGAAAAATGAAATTGCAACCTATCTCACCCAATATACAAAAATCAACTCAAAGTAAATGCTTAACTGTGAAACATGAAATTGGAAAACTACTAGAAGAAAAGATAGGTGAAAATCTTCTTGACATTGGTCTGGGCCAAGATATTTTTGGATATGACTGAAAAGCATAGGCAACGAAAGAAAAAGTAGACAAATGATACTGTATCAAACTAAAACGCTTTTGCACAGCAAAGGAGATATTTATAGAGTAAAGAGACAACCTACAGAATGGGAGAAATATCTACAAAGCATACATTCGATAATAGGTTAACAGATTTTTTAAAAAAGGAATTCAGACAACACAATAGCAAGAGAACAAGTTACTTCTCTAGAAAATGGGCAAAGAACCTGAAAAGATATTTCTCAACAGAAGACACACAAATGGCCAAGAGGTATAATGAGAAAATGCTAAACATCATTAATCATCAGGGAAAAGCAAATTAAAACCACAAAGAGATATCCTCACACCTGTTAGGATGGTCATTAACAAAAAGACAAAAGAAGAGTTGGTGAGGATGAAGAGAAAAGGGAACCCCCTTGTACGCTGTTGGTGTGAATGTAAATTAGTAGTTATTGTGGAAAACAGCACTGAGATTTCTCAAAAAACCAAAAATAGAACTACCATATGATTTGGAGATTCCACTTCTGGGTATATATCCAAAGGAAATGAAATCTGCACTCCCATGTTCACTGCAGCATTATTCATAATACCCAAGCTATGGAGTCAATCTAAATGTCATCAGTGGATGAATGGATAAATAATATATGGTATATATAATTAAAGGCATACTATTCAGCCTTAGAGGAGATCCTGTCACTCGAGATAATATGGACGAACCTGGAGAACATTATGTTAAGTGAAATAAGCCAGGCGTAGAAAGACAAATACTGCATGTCTTGCTTATTTGTGGAATCTAAAAAAGTCAAATTCATAGAAGCAGAGAGTAGAATGGTGGTTACCAGGGGCTGGGGAGACAAAACTTGGGGGATTGTGAAGATGTTGGTTTTTACTTTATGATTATTGTTATTTTTTTAGATGGAGTTTTGTTCTTGTTGCTTGGGCTGGAGTGCAATGGTGCGATCTCAGCTCACCGCAACCTCTGCCTCCCAGGTTCAAGCGATTCTTCTGCCTCAGCCTTCCGAGTAGCTGGGATTACAGGTGCATGCCACCACACCTGGCTAATGTTTTGTAATTTTTAGTAGAGATGGGGCTTCACCATGTGATCCACCTGCCTCAACCTCCCAAAGTGCTGGGATTACAGGTGTGAGCCACTGTGCCCAGCCTGAGATGTTAATTAAAGGATGCAAAATTTCAGTTAGACAGGAAGAATAAGTTCAGGAAATTTATTGTACAACATAGTGACCACAGTTAATAATAATGTATACTTGAAAATTGCTGAGACAGTAGATTTTAAATGTTCTCACACAAAAATATGTGGAGTAATGCATATGCTAATTAGCTTGATTTAGCCATTTCACAATGTTTACCTATATCAAAACATCATGTTGTACACCATAAATATATTGGTTTTTTATTTGTTAATTTAAAAATAAAAAAGATCAGCCTTAAATAACAGTACTCTGATATTCTAAAATTAAAGACTGTTTGTATTTTGAGAGATATAAACTAGCAAACCAAAAATAAAGAAATCCAAATACTAGGAAAACAAGGGAAAATATGCTCAACCTTCCTTAGTTCTTTTTTCTTACTTTCTTCCCTTCCTTATCCTCTCCCTATCTCCTACCCTTCCTCCTCTCCTCTTTCCTTTCTCCTTCCCTTCTTTCAGTCTTGGAGCTAATATTTAAAAATGCTAACAATTATTAATACATATTAATAGCAATACGTATCTTGTTCTTGTACTTTATGTATATTTACATGTCTTTAGAAATGGAGAAATAAAAAGGAAAATGTTATTACCTGTGCCTCCTTTACAGTGAATCGCTACGATGTTTTCAAGATCTTGAGCCATCCACTCATTTACTTCCTTGGTGAAAACCACCATCTGACTGATTTCAAGTTTAAGATTTTTAGTTAAAATATTTTCAAAAAATCAAGCCCAATATATTTAGCCCTCTTCTGATAGTCAATTTAGCATAAAACTTACTGTAGAGTGGGGACATTATGATCATCAATCATGATTCTAACGACCCTATTATGGAAGTGCTTAGGATCGTAAGCTCTTTCACCTAAAATAAATAATATGTATGTCATATCTCTATAGGGAATAACATGATAAATGAGGAAGTTATGAATAAGTTAACATATCTTATTAGAATTCCTTATCTATCTTCAAAAAGAGCTTTCCAAGTTGCTCCTGCCACTCTAAAATAAACGCAAGCGTTTCAAAAATATAAGGATGGTAGTGGTTTATCCATCTCATATAACCTAAACTCAACTTATTTTTGTTTAATAGGTATAATTTTTAACTTTCTAGCAGACTATTCATTATATTATTTCAGGGTAGTTAGAAACCACACAAGGCAAATGTAGCTGACCAAAATGTTTGCCCCCTGAAAATGTCTATTGAGTATACAGGTAGAGGAAAAAATCAAGAGAGACAGGGTATTAAACTGGGTTACAACCTATTTTCTACAGTTTTTTGCTTTTTTCCCATCTAGAGCCTTGCTCTCATCACATGCCACTGCTGATGGGTCAGAAGACTCATTTGTTAAATTGTCTATGTCCTCATAACACAATCTGGCAAGAAAAACAGAAAGATTTTCCTAAACCTAATATCGCTAGAACAGATCTTCCCTAAAATGGTTTTCTTCCACTCCAGCTTCATTGGTCCTGCCAAAGCCACATCCTTCATACGGTACTTTGTGCTGCTGGGCTAACTCCTTCTACTAAATGGGGCCAGTCCAAGATGGGGATTTTTAAATTCATTCCTTGCCACTACCAAATACTTATGATTAAATGCAATCTAAAAAACAAAATCATCTTCTTACGTGCAGTAATCTGTTTTCTATCTACAGTAGCACAATATAGAGTAATGTACATACTGCATAGATTGTAGACTCGATAGTGGTTTCGGTGTTTCTTATCTAGAAACCGCACAACTTCCTAAAAAAGACAAACACATATCTTACATATTTACATGGCACCAACATAAGCTATTTCCTAGGGGGAACCTAAAATGGTTATTACTTTTATTAATTTGTCTCTCACTAGCATCTTCTAGTGGAGATTCAGGGAATAAGAGGGTATGCAAACTTCAAGTTCTAATCCACTGTGATTTTTCAAATAGTCCACAAGTATGTTTGGCTACTCAGATGAGTCTCTATTGTAAATGCACACTGTTTAAAGCTATCAGATAAGTAAATTAGCTGGTTAACTAACTTTAAGTAATTTGTTCTAAATCATTAATTCACAGTTAATATGGATCTTGTTTAAATCTAATTCATATTCGTTCTTATTTAATTCTGAATAGATACATCTTTAGAGAGTGATCTGCATATTACAGTCTATCTAAGCACTATGTAAACAAATGCAAAAAGCATATAGTATGATTGTGTGTATGTGTGATAGAAAAAGATAAACATATCAAATTTTAAATAACTGGTAACAATATGGAGACTTTTTTGGCTCATTTGTTCTCTTTATTTTTTTAAATGAAGATATATGTGTACCTATAAAGTGTGTGTCTATATATATATATATATATATATATATATATATATATATGTATATATGTATAACCTTTAAAATGAAAAACAAATAGTAGTTATAATTTAAAATACAATCAATACCACTATATGAATCCAACTTTCAGTAAATACATCTTTCTGAAACATACACACACATACGTATATATCTCTGTGCAACAACAAAAATGACACAAAATTTTAAAACTGATTAGTATGGTACCCTCAGAGCAATGTTTACTGGCTTAATATTGAGAAAAATAAAATGAAGGTATCAAAGTCATCCATTTATTAAACTGGCTATCTCTGTTAAGAGGAAATAATAAGTCAAAAAGATGAACACTCTGAATCTGCATAGTGGGGGAGGCAAGGATAAATAGTTTTATATACTTCAGGTGTATCCTCCCCCCAGGTGATGGCTTTGTTCTTATCAATCTCTATGTTAAGATAATCCAATGGCCTGACCTGTCTTCCACCTGAAGAGACCATGGAGACTAGGCTCAGTCTTGTGCTTGCTTCCCTTTTCCGCGGTGTGGCACTGGGCACACTTCTGAACAAAAATTTTCTTGCCTTTCTCAGCATCACCCATATTTAATTCTCTCTTTCATCACTGGCACTACAAAGGTTCCCGCTCAGAAGCCAGATGTCCCGCTCTATGTACCATATTTTCTTTATCTAATCTATCATCGACTGGCATTTAGGTTGATTCCATGTCTTTGCTCTTGTGAATACTGCTGCAATGAACATATGTGTGCATGCATGTATTTTTATAAGACAATGATTTATATTCCTTTGGGTATATACCCCATAATGGGATTGCTGGGTCTGATGGTATTTCTGCCTCTAGGTCTTTGAGGAATTGCCACACTGTCTTCCACATGGGTTGAACTAATTTACACACCCACCAACAGCATTTCTTTGTCTCTGCAACCTTCCCAGCATGTTATTTTTTGGCTTTTTAATAGTAGCCATTCTGACTGGCATGAGATGGTATCTCATTGTGGTTTTGTTTGCATTTCTTTAATGATCAGTGATGTTGAGTTTTTTTTTTTCATATTTTTGTTGACTGCATGCATGTCTCTTTTGGGAAGTGTCTGTTCAGATCCTCTGCCCACTTTTTAATGGGGTTGTGTTTTTCTTGTAAATTTAAGTTCCTCATAGACTCTGAAGGAGATATTACCAGTGAAGGCTGAGAAACAGCAAAGATGGCAGCCAGCTCCTTCCTTTGGAAGCTCCATCCCAGGGGGATACTGACCTGTATCCAGCCCGCACATACCTGCAAGAGGTGGCTGGAGACCCCTGTTGGGCATTCTCACCCAGTCAGGAGGCATGGGATCAGGGACCCATCCAAAAAAGCAGTCTGGCTGCTTTGGGGTAGAGCAGGTGTGCTGCACTGTGGGGGATCCTTCCTCCTCCAGACCACCTGTATTCTCCAAAGCCAGCAGGTTGGAATGGCTGAGTTGACCAAACTGCAGAGGTGGCAGCTGCCCCTCCCACCAGGAGCTCCATTTCAGGGAGAGATCAAAGCTCTGTCCATAGAACCGCTGCTGGAGTGGTTAAAGCCCCTACAGGGATTCCTGCCCAGTGAGGAGGAATTGATTGGGGTCCTGCTTAAAGAGGCAGTCTGGTCATGATCTGGCAAGCCAGCTGTGCTGTGTCGTGGGGAACTCTTCCTTGTCCAGACTGTCTGTATTCTCCATAGCTGGCAGGCTGGAGTGGCTGAGTCTATGAACCACAGTGATGCTGGCTGCCTCTCGCCACCTCCCCGGGAACTCAGACCCATCTGAGGTGGATTCCAACCTGCTGCTGTTGGCAGGCTAGGATTCCAAGCCAGTGGGTCTTAACTTGTGAGGTGCCAAGGAAACGGGGCCTGCAGAATGATGCTGCCTGGCTCCCTGGATTCAGCCCCCTTCCCAGAGATACGTATGGACAGATTTCCCACTGTGCTGAAGATCCCCGGGGCTAGAGTGTGTAAAACTCCTGGGTTTCTGTGTGTGCCTGAGCAGCTGATGTGCCCAGACTCCATACAGGTCTGTGTATCAGATCCACAGCCCTGGTGGCATGGGCTCACAAGGGGATCTCTTGATCCACGGCTTGCAAAGATCCATGAGAGAAACACGGTTTCCCGGGCAGGACTGCACACTCACTCACTGCTTCCCTTGGCTGGGAGTGGGGGTTCCTTTGGCTCCATGCCGCCCCCGGCTGGGCCATCGCACCCTCTGCCTGCTTATCTTCATTCTCCATTGGTCGACCTGTTCATCCAGTCAGTCCCAATGTGAGAACCTGGTTATCTCAGTTGAAGGTGCTGAATTCCCTCGCCCCTTTTCATTCCTCTTTGTGAGCGCGGCAGACTGCAGCTGCTTCTAATTGGCCATCTTGCATCACTCTAAACATTTCTTTTTTAGCCCTAGTTCTTAATTCCTATAGCCCTTGGTTTATCACTAGTTTCTTGATAAAATAATCCGTCCACGTTCTCTAGTCATGGGATGATGACTCAGGCCAGGTATCCAGGACATTTTCTGGGAAGTAGCTGAACTTGCAGCCCTGTCCTGTTCAGAACTGAGCTAACACACTGCAGAGAGGTACTCCTTCCACCTCTCGGCAACTGATACCAGCCCTCGATAGTTATATTTTTATTGAGGTATAATAAGTATTGTAAATTACATAAAATTAAACAATGATCCTTTCAGCTGGCATTTCACAGTAAACAGCATTATATGTTTGAAATTAATTTAGTCATCCACAGAGCCTAAAGCAATATGCCCCGACTATAATTTAGGATCTCAACCTAAGAAAACACATTTTGGGTTATGGCATCCCCATCTTTCTTCCCTATGGTAGACTATCAAAAACGGCCACAATTCTTTATAATTCCTTCCATCAAGAGTTGGAGTTTATTTTCTACTCCTTGAATCCAGACTGGTAGTGTAATTTGCATTGTCCAATAAAATGGGGTAGAATTAATATATAATTTTGAGCCTGGGCCTGAAGAGGATTTGCATTGTTTTGTTGCCGCTCCTCGGACTCTTGCCTCTGCCATCATGTGAACAGGCCTGAAGTAGCCTACTGGAGAATGAGAGACCACATGGGGCCATTCAGCCAAGTCAGGTAATTTTCTTTCCTTTCATTTAAAAAATCTGTTTCCTTCATTCTTTAAAAATATTTTTAATTGACACATAATACTTGTTCATATTTATAAGGTAGAGAGGGATATCTCAATACTTGTATACAATGTGTAATGATCAAATCAGGATAATCAGCATATCTATCACCTCAAATATTTATCATTCTTTGTGTTGGGGGCACTCAACATCCTCTCTATTTAAAAATATACAATAAATTATTGTTAACTGTAGTCACCCTACAGCACTACAGAACACCAGAACTTATTCCTATCTGTAAGCTTAAATCTGATATTTCTTTGTTGATTTTCTGTCTAGATGATCTGTCCAGTGGTTAAGAGTGGGGTGCTAAAGGCCCCAACTGTTACTGCATTGGAGTCTATCTTTCCCTTTAGACCTAAAAATATTTGCCTTGTTTATCTGAGTGCTCTAGTGTAGGGTACATACATATTTACAATTATTATATCTTATTGCTAAGTTGATCTCTTTATTATTATAAAATGACCTTCTTTGTCTCTTCATACAGTTTGACTTAAAGTCTGTTTTTATCTGATAAGTATGGCTACCTCTGCTCGCTTTTGTTTTCTGTTTGCCTGGAATATTTTCTTCTATCCCTTCACTTCCAGTCTGTATGATCCTTTACAGGTGAAGTTAGTTTCTTGTAGGCAGCATACAGTTGGGTCTTTTTTTTTTTTTTAAATCTTGGCAGCCAACTCTATATCTTTTAATTGGGAATTTGATCTGTTTACAT
The DNA here is from genome assembly GCF_000001405.40 of Homo sapiens. Lineage (NCBI taxonomy): Eukaryota > Metazoa > Chordata > Mammalia > Primates > Hominidae > Homo > Homo sapiens. The sequence continues at coordinate 10,573,005 of NC_000021.9, read as the reverse complement.
TACATTCAAGGTTACTATTAATAGATGAGGCTTTATCCTGTCATTTTGTTCATTTTTTTCTGGTTGTTTTGTATATCCTTTGTTCTTTTCTTCACCTTTTTTTTTTAATCTTTGTGGTTTGGTCACTTTCTGTAGTGACAAAGTTTGATTCCTTTCTCTTTCTCATGTGTATATCTGCACTACAGGTGAGTTTTACACGTTTGTGTTTTTGACAATGGTAATCATCCTCTTGCTTCCAGATGTAGAACCACCTAAAGCAGTCCTTGTAAGGTCAGTCTAGTGGGAATGAATTCCTTCAGTTTGTGCTTGTCTAGGAAATACTTTATTTCTCCCTCATTTCTAGGGGATAGCTCTACTAGGTATCGTATTCTTGGTTGACAGTTGTTTTTTTTTTCCTTCGGTACTTTGAATATATCATCCCATCTTATTGTCTACTGACCTGTAAAGTTTCCACTGGGAAATCTACTGCTAATCAAATGGAGTTTCCCTTATATGTGACTTGATGCTTTTTTCTTGCTGTTTTTAACATTTCCTTTTTTTTTTTTTTTTTTTTTTGGATACAGTCTCGCTCTGTCACCCAGGCAGTAGTGCAGTGGTATGATCTTGGCCCACTGCAACCTCCACCTCCTGGGTTTAAGCAATTCTCGTGATTCAGCCTCCCAAGTAACTGGAACTACAGGTTCACGCCACCACACCCAGGTAATTTTTTTGTATTATTAGTAGAAATGCGGTTTCTTCATGTTGGCCATGCTCGCCTTGAACTCCTGGCCTCAAGTGATCCACCCGCCTCAGCCTCCCAAAGTGCTGGGATTACAGGTGTGAGACACCGCACCTGATGAATATTCCCTCTTTTTGACTTTTGACAGTTTGACTACTATGCACCTCAGAGAAGACCTTTTTTGGGTTGAATCTATTTGAGAACCTTTGAGCTTCCTAGATTTTGGCCATATCTCTCCCATGTCTGTTTTTAAAGCTCTTGATTGTATTTTTTTTTTTTTTTTGAGACAGGGTATCACTCTGCCACCCAGGCTGGAGTGCAGTGGCACAATCTTGGCTCACTGCAACCTCCACCTCCTGGATTCAAGCAATTCTCATGTCTCAGCCTCCCAAGTAGCTTGGATGGCAGGCATGCACCACCAAACCCAACTAATTTTTGTATTTTTTAGAGACAGGATTTCGCCGTGTTAATCAGGCTTGTCTTGAACTCCTGGCCTCAAGTAATCCACTGCCTTGGCCTCTCAAAGTGCTGGGATAACAGGTGTGAACCACTTCACCTGGACTCTTGATTGTATTTTTATTTTATTCCTTAAATTCTTCAGCTCCACAATCTCTGTCTGGTTTTTAATGATATATATATCCTTGTTGAATTTCTCATAAGATCATAAATTGTTTTTCTAATTTCATTGATTTGTCTATCTGAATTCTCTGTATCTCATAGTTTCCTTAAGATCATTATTTTGAATTCCTTCTTAGCCATTTGATATACTCTTTAAATTTAGGGTCTGTTAATGGGGAATTATGGTGTTTCTTTGGAGGTGTAATGTTTCCTTGCTTTTCACGTTTCTTATGGCCCTAAACTGATTTTTGCACATCTGGGAGAACAGTTGCCTCTTCCAATGTTAGGGAGCTTTCACAGAGAAATACTTTTTCCAATAGTTGTCTCCTATAGTGTTCATTGAGTAGGGTGCTTTGACTTTGGTTCTGGGTGGGTGCAGTAATATAGTCTTCAGGTGACTTTTTTGGCTGTAATCAGCATTCAGTGGTGTCTGTGAGTGCCTCAGTGGCCTGATGGTGAGTGTTTGTGGAGACAGTGGTATGGCTTTTCTTGTTGTGAGAGCCATCATTCAGATTAGTTCTCAGGCCTTAGGCATATGCATGCTAGCTGCAGTGGCTTTGCTAGTTATGGGGTATTGCCAACAGCAGGGCGGGCACCAGGCAGGCCAGTCCTCAGTGCCTTAGAAGTGCATGAGGCAAATGGTGGCTCTGCTGGTGAAGGGGGTGGGGCTGTTGGCAGCAGTGGGTGCCAGATGGGATGGGCCTTGGGCCTTGGGGGGTGCATTTAGCATGCAGTGGCTCTTTCAGTCGAGGGTAGCCAAGTCATTTTAGACTAAACCAGTCCTCAGATGACCCAGTAGCTGCCCACAGATACATGAATGAGCTTAGTTGAGACAGGAAATCCTTTCTGCAAGCACCTAAATTGGACAGTTAAGCCCATACCAAATTCACATACCACAGTATCATGAGCCAAATAAATAGTTGCTGTTATAAGCCAGTAAGTTTTGGGGTGGTTTGTAACCACTGGCACAACTGTAACTGGTATCAATCCATTATGATTTTTTTTCCTTGAAAGAGTACATTTTTAAAAGAATACTGCCATATCTGGGTCAGTATTAAACTTATGACTACACAGTCTACATTCACTAAGAAATGAGTATTTGTCAGATAAAGACCCTTACCTTGATTGGATTTCTATAGAAAGACTGCCTTCCAGAAGATGGAAATGACATAGCAATAATACGTTCTAAAAGTCAAAATCATCACTATTACAAACATTATTATAGATTTCATACAACATACAAAAAAATTAATTTATACATGATCAGATTCCATTTTCACAGAAAAAAAACCTTTTAAGATTGAGGTTGACAGAAAAGAGCTAATACTCAGGATAATCAAATAACATATTAAATTATCCAACACAATGACCATTAAACTGCCATGGAGTTCTTAAGTCTCCACTAGTTCTAACTGTATGCCATGTATTTATGATGGCCTCAGTCTGAAGTTCCCCCTGTTCTTAGAATTTATTTCTTATCTTAAATACCAGAGAAAATCCAAGATTTCTGGGCACCAGTGATGGTGGGAACTCCCAAGGTGCTTTGCAGCCCTCTGACTCAGAAAACCTGAGATCTACAAAGCACTGACCTCATTCTCTGGGATTCTAGGATAAGAAGAGGTCTCCATGGGATCCCTGGGACTCAGAAATAACTACTAGAGGTTAATAAATTGAAACTCAAATGGAGTCAGCTGAAAATCCATTCAAGTTCCTATGCTGCAACTGAGTAGTCTTGAATTGAGAAGACATGTAGATCTTCCATTGCCAGGGCTAAACCACAAATATGTCACACTATCACAGTAGCATATATCCTCATGAATAAAGAATATTTTGAATGAATGTGTCTTAGATGAGGCAAAAAAAAATACAATTACAAGAAAAAGTGAAGTAATACAAGTAAATCAACGGTTAAGTGTCACAAACCTGTAACGTAAGTGAGGTCTAGGTCAAATCCATCCCTTGTGTATCGCCTTTTGTTTTCTGAAACCTGACAGTTTAAAATCGTCATTAGTTTGTGAAACACTCATCAACATAAAAATAAAAAACATTATACAGTATAGATATCAACCCTTGTCAATGGGTCCCAAAACACAAAATATTTTTGTGAATCATAAGCATGTTTTGCCCACTTACCCGCCTTCTTATCAGCTTTTCAAGTTGTCTTTTTTGATGAAACAGATGAAAAATTCTTAACAGAATAATAAGTCGTAGAAGTCGAAGTAAATGTGTCCATCTAAGAATAAATTTAAACGATCCATTTTTGCTTCAGAAACAAAATTTTATCAATATAAACTATGTCTAGAGCAGCAGTTGTTAACCAGAGGCAATTTTCCCTCCTCTCCCCAATTACCTACCTGGGGGATATTTGGCAATGTCTGGAGGCATTTAGGTTTTCACCACTGGCGTGCGTGCATGTGTGTGTGTGTCTGTGTGTTACTTACATCTAGTGAATAGAGGCCAGGAATTTTGCTAAACACCCTACAATTAATATAACTGCTCACCACCCTCTTATGACAATCATCTGGCCCAAAATGTCAGTAATGCTGAGGCTGAGAAATTCTGGTCTAGAGAAATAGTGATACAATAGACTCTTAGCATCTGTAAATTTAATTTTGGGATTTAAGACTAGCATTTTCAATTTTTTCCACATCAAAACAAATCGATTATTCTTGTTCATCTTTGTTATTCCCATGAGTAACAGATGTTCACTACAGCTGCTACTACACATCAGGGAGGCAACAGATTGAGATACTTCCGAAGTGTGCTAGCTGGAATCTCCCCTACCATCAGAACCACTGAAGCAGAGAACTGATGGTCTGGACTAGTGCTTCTCTGATTTGGGCACACATCAATAAGAGCCACCTGGAAAAGCTTGTTAAGCTGCAGATTGCTGGGTCCCAGAGATACTGATTCAGTGGGTCCAGGGTGGGGCCTAAGGTATTTTTCTTCTTATATTTCTAGCAAGCTGTCAAGTGATGCTGACGTTTCTAGTCAGAGGACCACATTGGCTGAGGTTATTTTCAAATAACTCCAAAAGCCTATCACTTAACATGCTTTTAGTTGGGGCCTGAGCTGTAGTCCAGGGAAGCTAGGGTACAAAAAGAAATCAGCTATTTGACCCATGAACAAGCTTAGGAAGCCACCATCTACATCCCAGTATACATTTGCTCTTTCATTTTCCTCCTTGTCACAGTAAAAAAAGAGTCACCAGGGCTTCATATACTCTTTAGTTTCCCAATCCCACTTCTAACTTTGCCTGCTTTCTTTGTTTCTACCACAACTATACTGCAAAACTCTACTATTGTGTTGCCACGTGTCATCTCCTAGTTTCTGTTCTGTTTGCTATTTTTTAGAAACTCATGATTGAAGTCACTCTAATTTTGCATATGCTCAAATAAATTCCCTCTTGGCTGTAGGAAAAATCCAGACAGAACATTATGTGTAAGGGATTTGTAGTTGAAGCACAGAGGGGAATTGTTTTCAATATAAATTTTTTTGATATAGCAGATATTAAACTGATAAGAATATTATACTTGATCTTAGCCAAAAGGCCAAAAAATGATACAAATGGGAATTTGACGAGAACTTCAAAATGTAGAGAAGTTAAAGTTAGTACAAGAGTAAAAGTCCTTCTTTGGGGTACTGCATCTTCTTTATTCCATTAATGGTACTTAGCCTGTATACTCTTCACCGGTCCCTAAATATCACAATCTTTTAGTTTCAAAGTATGTGGGAATTTACCTAAACATTTCATTTTAAAGCAATGTATTTGGTATAGAATGAGAACATTTGAAGTTGAAAAGATTATATAGAATAAAAGGCACAGAAAATGCTAAAATTAATGAAAAACTTTAAGAGAGGTAAGTCTTATGTTTCATACCTGGGAATATTCCTAAGCAACTTAATGTCAAAAAAAATGTAAACGACATCAACCAGCAGAAGAATCACAATAATGGCAGTATCTAAAATGTTAAATAAGTCAGAAAAATACTGCTGTCTCCTGTAATATAAAACAAAAAAAATAAGTTCATTCCCCCCTGCAAGAAGAGATAGGAATATTTAAAGACCACAAACTATTGACTCATCCCCATTAAGAATTCTACTATCATGAATTATTTAAAATGTATTTTCTAGAGTAGACTAAGGGAAAAATATAACATTCATGGGAAGTTTTCAAACAATAAAATTATATTCATCATTTGACACTTATATGTGACTAAAACACCAACATGGCAATTCAAACATAATAAGAGATATAACTAAATGCGTAATAATCACCCTCATTGTGGACAATGGGGTATCTATCCCCTCAAGCATTTATCATTCATGTTACAAACAATCCAATTACACTCTTTCAGTCATTTAAAAATATACAATCAAGTTATTGTTGACTATGGTCAATCTGTTGTGCTATCAAATAGTAGGCGTTACTCATTCTATTTTTTTGTACCCATTAACCATCCCCATCTCCCCACCCCCAAGCCCCTACTACCATTCCTAGCCTCTGATGACCATCCATCTACTCTCTAGGTCTATGAGTTCAATTTTTTTTTTTTTTTTTTAGAGCCCCATAGTAAGTGAGAACATGTGATGTTTATCCTTCTGTGCCTGGCTTATTTCACTTAACAAACATAGTGATCTCCAGTTCCATCCATGTTGTTCCAAATGACAGTATTTTTTTTTTTTTTTTTTGAGATGGAGTTTCACTCTTGTTGCCCAGGCTGGAGTGCAATGGCGTGATCTCGGCTCACTGCAACCTCCACCTCCTGGGTTCAAGCGATTCTCCTGCCTCAGCCTCACGAGTAGCTGGGATTACAGGTGCCCGGCACCACACCCAGCTAATTTTTGTATTTTTAGTAGAGATGGGGTTTCTCCATGTTGGTCAGGCTGGTCTCGAACTCCCGACTTCAGGTGATCTGCCCACCTCAGCCTCCCAAAGTGCTGTGATTACAGGCATGAGCCAGTGCACTTGGCCGGGTTCTTATTGTTTTTTTATGGCTAAATAATACTCTCTTGTGTATATGTACTATATTTTCTTTACCCATTCATCTCTTGATGGGCACTTAGGTTGCTTCCAAATCTTAGCCATTATGAACAGTGCTGCAACAAAAAGGGAATGCAGATATCTCTTCTATATAGTGATTTCCTTTTTTGTGGGTATCTACCCAGCAGTGGGATTGCTGGATCATATGGTAGTTCTATTTTTAGTTTTTTGAGTAACCTCCAAACTGTTCTCCAATTGGTTCTACTAATTTACATTTCCATGAACAGTGTATGAGGGTTCTCTTATCTTCACATCTTTGTCAGGATTTGTTATTGCCTGACTTTTGGATATAAACCATTTTAGCTGGGGTGAGATGATATCTCATGGTAGTTTTCTACACTGAGAATTTCTCTAATGATCAATCATGTCAAGCATCTCTTGATATGCCTGTTTACCATCTGTATATTTTGAGAAATGCCTATTCAAATCTTATCATTTAAAAGATTAGATTATTAGATTTTTTCCTAGAGAGTTGTTTGAGCTCCTTACATATTCTGGTTATTAATCCCTTTTCAGATGGGTAGTTTGCAAATATTTTCTCCCATTCTGTGGACTGTCTCTTCACTTTGCTAATCGTTTCCTCTGCTATGAAGCAGTTTTTTAACTTGATGTGATCCCATTTGCCCATTTTTGCTTTGGTAGCCTGTGCTTGTCAGGTATAGCCCAAGTAATTTTTGCTCAGACCAATGTCCTGGAGATTCTTCCCAATGTTCTCTTGTAGTATAGTTGTTTCATTGAGGTCTTAGATTTAAGTCTTTAATTCATGTTGATTTGATTTTTGTATATGGTGAGAGGTAGGGGTCTAGGTGCATTCTTCTGTATGTGTATATCCAGTTTTCCCAGAACCATTTGTTGAAGAGATGTCTTTTGTTCAATGTACGTTCTTGGCACATTTATGAAAAATGAGTTCACTGTAAGTGTGTGTGGATTTGTTTCTGGGTTCTCTATTCTATTCCAGTGGTCTGTGTGTCTGTTTTTATGCCAGTGCCATGGTGTTTTGGTTATATAGTTCTGTAGTATAATTTGAAGTCAGGTAATGTGATTCCTCCAGCTTTGTTCTTTTTGCTTAGAATAGCTTTGGCTATTCTGGGTCTTTTGTGGCTCCATATAAATTTTAAGATTGTTTCTTCTATTTCTGTGAAGAATGTCATTCATATTTTGACAGGGAGTGCATTGAATCTGTAAATTGCTTTGGAGAGTATGGACATTTTAACAATATTGATTCTTCCAATCCATGAACATGGAATCTCCTTCCATTTTTTGGTGTCCTCTTCAATTTCTTTCATCAGTGTTTTATCATTTTCATTATAAAGATCTTACACTTCTTTGGTTAGGTTAATTTCTAGGTATTTAATCTTATTTGTGGCTATTGTATATAGGACCACTTTTTAAATGTCCTTTCCAAATGGTTCACTGTTGACATATAGAAATGCTACTGATTTTTGTATATTGATTTTGTATCCTGCAACTTTACTGAATTTATCAATTCTAATAGTTTTTTTTGGTGGAGTCTTTAGTATTTTCCAAATAAAATGTATCATCTGCAAACACAGGGATAATTTTACTTCTTCCATCCCAATTTGGATTTCTTTTTTTATTCCCTTTCTTTCTCTTCCATAATGGCTCTAGCTAGGACTTCCGGTACTATGTTGAACAACGGTGGTAAAAGTGGGCATCCTCATTGTGTTCTAGATCGCAGAGAAAAGCTTTTCATTTTTTCCCCATTCAGTACGGTAATGACTGTGGGTCTGTCATATATGGTTTTTATTAAGTTGAGGTATGTTACTTCTATACCCAGTTTTTTTAGGGTGTTTACCATGAAGGGATGTTGAATTTTATCAAATGCTTTTTCAGCATCAACTGAAATGATCTTATGGTTTTTATCCTTTACTGTGTGGATATAATGTATCGCATTGATTGATTTACAAATGTTGAACCATCCTTGCATCCCAGAGACACATCCCACTTGTCATGATGAGTGATCTTTCCCATATATTGTTGAATTCAGTTTTCTAGTATCTTGTTGAGGATTTTTGCATCAATATTTATCAGATATATTAGCATGTTTTTGGTTTTGGTTTTGGTTTTTGGGTTTGTTTTTATTTTTATTCTTTTTGAGACTGAATCTCACTCTGTCACCCAGGCTAGAGTGCAGTGGTGTGATCTCAGCTCACTGCAACCTCTGCCTCCCAGGTTCAAGTGATTCTCCGGCCTCGGCCTCATGAGTAGCTGAAATTACAGGTGCCCGGCACCACACCCAGCTAATTTTTGTATTTTTAGTAGAGACAGGGTTTCACCATATTGGCCAGGCTGGTCTCGAACTCCTGACCTCCAGTAAACCACCCGCCTCTGCCTCCCAAAGTGCTGGGATTATGGGAGTGAGCCACCACTTCCAGCCTACATGTGTCTTTATGGGAGAAGAGTGTTTCCTGTAGGCAACAGAGCAATGGGTTTTTTTATTTTATTTATTTTTGAGCTGGAGTCTTGCTCTGTCACCAGACTGGAGTGCAGTGGCACCATCTCGGCTCACTGCAACCTCTGCCTCCCGGGTTCAAGTGATTCTCCTGCCTCAGCCTCCTGAGTAGCTGGGACTACGGGTGCGCACCACCACACCCTGCTAATTTTTGCATTTTTAGTAAAGACAGGGTTTCACCATGTTTGCCAGGATGGTCTGTAGCTCTTGACCTCATGATCTGCCTGCCTTGGCCTCCCAAACTGCTGGGATTACAGGCGTGAGCCACCACACCTGGATGGGTCTTGTTCTTTCATCCATTCATCCACTCTATCTTTTGATTGAAAAGTTTAGTCTACTGACATTCAATGTTATTACTGATAAGTAAGGACTTACTCCTGCCATTTTGTTATCTGTTTTCTGGTTGTTTTGGGGTCTTCTCTTCCTTCTTTCCTTCCTGTCTTTCATTAGTGAAGGTAATTTTCTCTGGTGATATGATTTAGTTTCTTGTTTTTTATTTTTCGTGTATCCATTGTTATATTTTTTGGTTTGAGGTTACCATGAGGCTTGTAAATACTATCTTATAATCCATTATTTTAATCTTATAATAAGTTTTCATAAACAAGTAAAAAGAAAACTAATAAAAACTCTACAACTTAGTCTCCCTATTTTTTAACTTTTTGTTATTTCTATTTATATCTTATTATACCATCTATGTCTTGAAAAGTTGTAGTTAATATTTTTCATTGGCTCATAGTTTAGTCTCTCTACTTAGAGTAAGAGTAGTTTATACATCATAGTTACAGTGTTATGACATTCTGCATTTTTCTGTATACCTACTATTACCAGTGAGTTTTATACCTTCAGGTTGTTACTTATTGCTCATTAATGTCCTTATCTTTCTGATTGAAATACTCCCTTTAGCATTTCTTCTAGGACAGGTCTGGTGTTGACAAAATCCCTCAGCTTTTGTGTGGAAAAGTCTTTATTTCCCCTTCACTTTGAAGGATACTTTCACTGGATACACTGTTCTAGGGTAAATGTTTTTTTCCTTCAGCACTTTCAATATGTCATGCCACTCTCTCCTGGCCTGAAACGTTTCTACTAAAGAGTCTGCTGCCAGATATATTGTAGCGCCATCGTATATTATTGGTTTCTTTTCTCTTGCTGCTTTTAAGATCCTTTTTTTATCCTTGATCTTTGGGACTGTGATTATTAAATGCCTTGAGGTAGTCTTCTTTGAGTTACATCTGCTTGGTGTTTTATAACTTTCTTGTACTTGGATATTGATATCTTTCTGTAGGTTTGGGATGTTCTGTTACCATCCCTTTGAATAAACTTTCTACACTCCCCACCTCCTCTTTAAGGCCAATACCACTTAGATTTGTCCTTTTGAGGCTATTTTCTAGATCCTGTAGGCAGGCGTCGTTGTTTTTTATTCTTTCCTTTGTCTCCTCTATGTATTTTGAAATAGCCTGTCTTCAAGCTCATTAATTCTTTCTTCTGGTTTATCAATTCTGCTATTAAAAGACTCTAATGCATTCTTCGGCATGCCAATTACATTTTTTGGCTCCAGAATTTCTGCTTGATTCTTTTAAATTATTTCAATCTCTTTGTTAAACTTATCTAATAGAATTATGAATTCCTTCTCTGTGTTATCTTGAATTTCTTTGAGTTTCCTTCCTCAACACAGTTATTTTGATTTCTTTGTCTGAAAGGTCACATATCTCTGTTTCTACAGGATTGGCCCCTGGTGTCTTATTTAGTTCATTTGGTGAGGTCATGTTTTCCTGGATAGTGTTGATGCTAGCAGATGTTCTTTGGTGTCTGGGCATTGAAGAGTTAGGTATTGATTGTAGTTTTCACTGTATTTATTGTAGTTTTCACTGTCAGGGCTTGTTTGTACCCATCTTTCTTGGGAAGGCTTTCCAGATATTTGAAAGAACTTGGATACTGTGATCTAATCTCTATCTGCTTTAGGGGGCACCCCAAGCCTCCTAAACTCTGGTTCTTGCAGACTCATAGTGGTACTGCCTTAATGGTCTTGGACAAGATCCAGGATAATTCTCTGCATTACCAAAAAGAGACTCTTGTTTTCTTCCCTTACTTTCTCCCAAACAAACAGAGTCTCTCTCTCTGTTCTGAGGCACCTAAAGCTTGGGGTTGAGTGACATAAGCACCTCTGTGGCCACCACTACTGTGACTGCATTGGGTCAGACCTGAGGCCAGCACAGCACGGGGTCTTGCCCAAGACCTGCTGTAACCACTCCTTAGCTATTGCAGGAGTTTACTGAAGGCCCTGGGGCTCTACAGTCATCACATCGTAAAAACAGCCAGGCCTGTGTCCTTGCCTTCAGGATGGCAAGTTCTCCTAGCCTACAGGTGGATCCACAGGTGCTGTCTGGGAATCAGGGCCTAGATCAAAAACTGTAAAAGTCTACCTAGTGTTTTATTGTGCTATGGCTGAGCTGTCACTCAAACCACAAGATGCAGTCCTTCCCACTCTTTCCACCCCTGTCCAAAGGCAGAGGAGCATCAATCCATGGCCACCTCAAACACAGGACATGGGGGGGGTACTGCCAGACTACCACCAATGTTCTCATAAGGCCCAAAGGCTCTTAAGTCAGTTTGTAGTGAATGCTCCCGTTAATTATTTTAAAATGCTTTTTTTTTTTTTTTTTTGAGATGGAGTCTCACCCTGTCACCCAGGCTAGAGTGCAATGGCATGATCTCGGCTCAATGCAACTTCTGCCTCCCAGGTTCAAACGATTCTCCTGCCTCAGCCTCCCAAACAGCTGGGATTACAGGCAACCACCACCATGCCCAGCTAATTTTTGTATTTTTAGTAGAGACGGGGTTTCACCATGTTGGCCAGGATCGTCTCGAACTCCTGACCTTGGGATCCTCCCACCTCAGCCTCCGAAAGTGCTTCTTATAAAACTACAAAGTAGCTTAATGCATTATAAAAATAATCAAACTTACCTTTCTACAAATACTCGAAGAAGAACATCCATGAGAAAAAATAAGGCAATAGCTAGAGAAATAGAACGATACTCCAAAGGAATATAAAGTTTGCTGTCAGTGAAAATTAGGTCGGCAAGGATGAGAGTGACATCCAGTAAGACCAGGAAAACTCCAAATAGTCTAAAATAAACAAATAAATAAATAAATAAATAAATGCAAAGATAAAGGGGCATTTGTCCCTGTAGCTATACTATATTTAAGCCACTGATCAGGTACCAAAATGTTATTATTTAGTATTAAGCTGCCCAGTGGCAGGAAAAACTGTAATGCCTTAGAATCTCAGAAAAATCACTGTTTTCACCCAATAGAAGCAGTTCTTAATAAACAAAATTCTCACCAAACCACTTCACAAGATATTATAGTAAACACATCAGACCAACACCTCAAGAGAGAAAAGTAAAACTGAATTAAAATCACCTGTCTGTTTACAAACTCTTCTTAAAATTTGCGAATTTCATAAGAAGTTTATACCAATTTCTCATAAAAAATAAACCCTCATTAATCTGGATAATTCTAAAGAATTTATTAATAAAAACCAAATGAAAGCATGAGTAACATAAGCTCTTAAAAGACCAAGATTTTTCATCAGTGACATTTTCAACAAGTACATGATTTCATATTTATGGGTGCTTCTAGCAGAGTGATGGGCACATGAGTCTTGAACTCTAAAGTACCTCCTGCCACTTGCTGTTACATATTCTAAATACATTCTCCATAAATTGATTAGACTATTTGCCTAGTCTATAAAGGTGAATTAGTCTTTGAAGTACTTTTTTAAAAACTTGCAGCTCAAATTCAAATATTATTAATTCAAAAGGAAACAATTATATCGTATAAATCTATATCATAGTATGAAATCTTACTCTTATGTAGAGAAGAGTCTAAGTAAATTGTTTCCAGAATTAAAGAGTAATTCCTGATGTATAAGGTACTAATAAAACACTTTACTAATAATTATAGAATTTTAACATTTGATTTTCATTAATGTTACTTTTGCAGATGGAAGAAAAACAATATTAATATATTACAATTAATCTTAGGCAAAAGCCATTTATTTGCAATTCTTAATGTCCAGCTTAAACCAAAATTCCATGATAAATTAGATTACATTAGATGGGGCACATGGCTACTTAGCAACTGATGGACAGTGGAAATGCTTTTTTGTTATTTTATTTCAGTATTTCTCATTGAAGTATTAAGTCTCATATATATATATGTATATATAGATATATATGAGACTCATATATTTTCTTTTCTTTTTTTTTTTTTTTTTTTTTACATGGAGTCTTGCTGTGTCGCCAAGGCTGCGGTGCAATGGTGCAATTTCAGCTCACTGCAATCTATGCCTCCTCGGTTCAAGCGATTCTTCTGCCTCAGCCTCCTGAGTAGCTGGGATTATAGGCACCCACCATTATGCTTGGCTAATTTTTGTATTTTTAGTAGAGATGGGGTTTCACCATGTTAGCCAGGCTGGTCTTGAACTCCTGACTTCATGTGATCCGCCCGCCTCGGCCTCCCAGGGTGCTGGGATTACAGGTGTGAGCCACCGTGCCCAGCCAAGTCTCAGATATATTTAATACATGGTGTTTTCTATGTCTCACATACCCAAATGCAAAGGATGATACAATTGAATGCACAATTTTCTTAATCTTGCTGCTGCAAAAAGAAGTAAAAATAAAATTAATCAGATTTCTTCTAACATATATTGTAAATTTAACCAAAAAACAAAGGCCCTTATAAATATAATTTCAAAAGAAAATTATTCAGAAGTTGTATAACAAAATGCTTTTTACTAATAGCTAAAATTTTATTCTTCCTGCTCCATGAGTATTTTACTTGTTTACTATGCTATCCAGAAGACAGTAAAGTTTGGATGTTTAGTAACATTTCCATTGCATGCAAAGCCCCAACCCCAACTTTATGGCAATACTAAACTTAAACTGGTGGTCATCATCTCAAGGAGTATAGCATGAAGACAGAAAAGGGTGGTAGAAGAGAACTGTATTTTAATGCCAGCCTGGGCAAATCATCAAACTTTGGCCAGATCTCAGTTTCCACTGCAATAAAATAAGGTGTTTCAGGAATGAGCATAGGGAGTAAATGATGCTCTTGTCATCTCCTCGAACTAGACACCTAGTGAACAGATGAGTCACATATGAGGTTGCAAACGAACTTCAGAGGTAAGACATTTTAGTAAGATATACTTCAAAGGAGAAACACCCGAAAGACTGGGCTCCTTCCATTAATCAAAGGAAGGAGAACCTGTTTGATGGAGCCTCCAATAATGCCTCATTTTACCTTATGGCTGGAGACAAGGTAGCTCATGAGGAACAATTTTTTTTGTCCTACTGAAGCCTCCTGTGTTGGAGGCTCTTCAGGAGGAGAAGCCTCCAACACAGGAGGCTTCAGTAGAAGAAGACTTCAGGAAGTTTCTGTCATACTGAAGCCTCCAACACAGGACTCAAATTCCACCCCAAGAGCCATGAATCCTAAGACAATGCTCACAGCCTGTGCCTAAGACGGGAGAACAAAGAGGGCAGATACTGAGCAGAACTGGGGCACTGACAATTGGCCTTTGACATGAACAGACATTTCTCAAAAGAAGACATGCATGTGGCCAACAAACATATGAAGAAAAGCTCAATATCACAGATTAGAGAAATGCAAATCAAAACCACAATGAGATACCATTTCACACCAGTCAGAATGGCTATTACTAAAAAGTCAAAAAATAACAGATGCGGGCAAGGTTGCAGAGAAAAGGGAACACATATACATTGTTGGTGGGAGTGTAAATTAGTTCAATCACTGTAAAAAGTACTATGGCAATACCTTGAAGAGCTAAAAGCAGAACTATTTGACTGAGCAATCCCAATACTGAGTAGATACCCAGAGGAATATAAATCATTCTACTATAAAGATACATGCATATGAATGTTCACTGCAGCACTATTTACAATAGCAAAGACATGGAATCAACCTAGGTACCCATCAATGACAGATTGGATAAAGAAAATGTGGTACATATATACCATGGAATACTATACAGCCATAAAAAAAGAATGAGATCATGTATTTTGTGGGAACATCAATGGAGCCGGAGGCTCTTATCCTTAGCAAACTAGTGCAGAAACAGAAAACCAAATACTGAATGTTCTCACCTATCAGTGGTAGCTAAATCATAAGGACTTATGAACACAAAGAAGGAAATAGACACTGGGGTCTACTTAAGTGGGGAGGGCAGGAGGAGAGAGAGGAGCAGAAAAGATAACTATTTGGGTACTGAGCTTAATACCTGGATGATGAAATAATATGTAAAAAATAAAAAAAAACAACCTCCCTGACACAAGTTTACCTATGTAGCAAACCTCACGTGTACCACCAAACCTAAAATAAAAGTTAAAAAAAAAAAAATTGGCCTTTGATGAAGGATGTTAGGTTAACCTGAGATAAAAGAAATCCCCAATCCTTCTAATCTTCCCCTCTCCACCTGGACCCACCACCTCCACCCAGGCTTGGAGAGTTAAGGCTGATGTAGATGGAGGATCAATTGGCCAAAAGAGGTGAATTCTCTCCTCAAGTTGCCATTCCCTTACTACAAGAACCTCTGATCCCACACAGTCTACTAGATCTCTGGGTATCAAGGAAATGTCATAAATCTGAACTCACTTGACAATGTCACCATACAGAACCAAGTCTGACAGATTATGAAGGCATGAAGAAGTGGCTTGGGTGGCTTTAGCCCCTTAATCTGTTTCAGTGTACCCTGAAACTATACCAAGTAAATACACAATTGAGACTTTTTTGCTTAAAAAAAGAGTACTATGTAAATGAAGCTTCAAGCAGTTATGTGCAGAGTTTGCAGGGAAATAACTATGACTCAGTAAATCCATATCCAGGAAAAGTACTGTTCACACTCGGGAGCAACAGACAGACACTCCAACATGAAGCAACACGAAGCATAGCCTCCATGTACCTTTCCTAAAAACAATTACTCAAAGTGCTTGAGTCAGCTGAGCAATGAATCAAAATGAAGAACAAAAATGTAGCAGGTGAACAAAAGCAATGGCAACAAAAGCCAAAATTGACAAACAGGATCTAATTAAACTAAAGAGCTTCTGCATAGCAAAAGAAACTACCATCAGAGTGAACAGGCAACCTACGGAATGGGAGAAAATTTTTGGAATCTACTCATCTGACAAAGGACTAATATCCAGAATCTACAAAGAACTCAAACAAATTTACAAGAAAAAAATCAAACAACCCCATCAAAAAGTGGGCAAAGGATATGAACAGACACTTCTCAAAAGAAGACATTTATGCAGCCAACAGACACATGAAAAAATGCTCATCATCACTGGCCATCAGAGAAATGCAAATCAAAACCACAATGACATACCATCTCACACCAGTTAGAATGGTGATTATTAAAAAGTCAAGAAACAACAGGTGCTGGAGAGGATGTGGAGAAACTGAACACTTTTACACTGTTGGTGGGACTGTAAACTAGTTCAACCATTGTGGAAGACAGTGTGGCGATTCCTCAAGAATCTAAAACTAGAAACACCATTTGACCCAGCCATCCTATTACTGGGTATATACCCAAAGGATTATAAATCATGCTGCTATAAAGACACATGCACACGTATGTTTATTGCGGCACTATTCACAATAGCAAAGACTTGGAACCAACCCAAATGTCCAACAATGATAGACTGGATGAAGAAAATGTGGCACATATACACCATGGAATACTAAGCAGCCATAAAAAAGGATGAGTTCATGTCCTTTGTAGGGACATGGATGAAGCTGGAAACCATCATTCTCAGCAAGCTACCGCAAGGTCAGAAAACCAAACACTGCATGTTCTCACTCATAGGTGGGAATTGAACAATGAGAACCCTTGGACACAGGAAGGGGAACATCACACACCAGGGCCTGTCATGGGGTGGGGGGATGGGGGAGGGATAGCATTAGGAGATACACCTAATGTAAATGATGAATTAATGGGTACAGCACACCAACATGGCACATGCATGAATATGTAACAAACCTGCACATTGTGCACATGCACCCTAGAACTTACAGTATAATAATAATAAAAAAAAGTAGCAGGTGAAAATGTAAATAAATGATTCTAAAAGTAAAGATAAATAATATAAAATCATGAATAATAGTATTGATTTGAATTTTTAGGCATTCTTACACTAGGATTCAAGGTGTGGAAGAAGATAGAAGTAAAGGCAGGTTGCATTTCTTATCTTTCACAGGTACGAGTCCAGTTTTATTCTCGATATTGATGGAAAAAATGGTATAATTATGTTTTCTAAACATTTAAATATAAACATTGATAGACTAGAAATGGGCTTCTGACTTGCATATCAACAAAAAATGCAAGGGATGAAAACAAATCAGATAATAGCAAAACATAGACAAATTTACAAAGAAAATATCAAAGTATTTTTAATAAAGAAAAAGATGATAAATAAAACCAAACGTACCAGAAATCATAAATACAAACATATTACTCTCATATTGCATATTGAGAAATACTCTCAGATAACTTTGAAATTAAAGGCATTACATGCTATACATGAGAGACAAAAACTAAATTTAAATGACAATTCAAAAATAAAGAGATAGCGGCCAGGCGCGGTGGCTCACGCCTGTAATCCCAGCACTTTGGGTGGCCAAGGTGGGTGGATCATGAGGTCAAGAGATCGAGACCATCCTGGCCAACGTGGTGAAACTCCATCTCTACTAAAAATACAAAAAATTAGCTGGGCGTGGTGGTGCATGCCTGTAGTCCCAGCTACTCAGGAGGCTGAGGCAGGAGAATCGCTTGAACCTGGGAAGTGGAGGTTGCAGTGAGCTGAGTGGAGCCACTGCACTCCAGCCTGGTGACAGAGCGAGACTCCGGCTCAAAAAAAAAAGAGAGAAAAAAAGATATGAGATACTAAACCTTAATACACTGAAAGTTCCAATAATATCAAAGTTGAATTAAAAGCAGAAATATTAACTATGAACATGAATGACTCATTTTTTATCAATAGAAGGTGGAAGCTACATGACACTAACAAGACCATGTTTAATGAAATGGGATTTGTATTGAAGGCAGGTGCTATCTCTCCCACTGGACACATTTTTCTCTTGTGCAGACTCTGGGGGTAGGGAGGTGGCCATGATGCAAAGCACGAAAAACACTGTAGTGACTCTGGTCTTCCTGCTCACTCTAGATCACTAAAACAGGGTAAGGACAATACAGAGGGATGACATGTTCATGCTGAAAAAACTATGAGTCACTTAGGAGAAAAGTAAATTTCTACACTTTATACCTTAAGACAAAGTAAATTCAGGGCAGATATTTTATTTAAATGAAGAAAATAAATTCAAAACAGAAATTTTGGTGAATATATTTAAAATCTTGGGGTGAGAAGGACTTTCTGAGAATAACATTAAAGGCAAAATCACAAAGAAAAGTACAGATACATTTGATTACATGAGGATTAAATGCTTTTATATAGTGAAAAGCAAGACAACCTGGGAGAAATTGCTTATATTACATAAAATAGAAAAAGGATCAATAGATTTAACTTTTCAGTCCAAAGACAGAAAAGGATAAATGAAGGTGTGTCAAAGAACATGCATTAGAACAAATATATTTACTAATATCAGAGAAATCAATGATGGCTAGTGTTAAGTGTGGGAGGGGAGAAATGTACACTTTGCATCTTGATGTTAAAGCACATATCAATATCAATAGCGTCACAATCATTCCCTTTGACACAGAATTTCCACTTCTGAGAATTTATAACAAGCAAATAACCAACAATATACAGAGATTTAGCCTCAAATATATTCATTTTTGTAAGTTAAAAACTTGTAAAAAAACTGAATTGTTCAGCAATATCTGACTATTAAATGAATTATAGCACATCTACACCATGAAATATCACACAACTGTTACAAATAATGTTGTAAGTGCACATGAATATATATTAACAAAAAAATATAGCCATGATGTCATTAATAAGGTTATTTACAAAAGAATAAGTATGGTCTCATATCTGTAAACAAAAAAAGTATATGCTTAAAGAACTTAGAAGTGCATGCATCAAAGTTTAAGAATGACTAAATGTGGGTAGATTTGTTGATTGTATTTTCAGATTTTCCTTTAATGAACTCTTACATTATTTTTAGTTTTTAGAATAAAACCTATTTACAGAACTACAGAGTTTTCAAAGTATTTTTGCATGTTATTTTCATTTTATTACTAATTTTTTAAATACAATATCCAGTACATGGATTGCATTATAGCCAGTTTACATTTGAATAATCTGAAAGTTAAAGAGGGTTAGTGACTTGCTGAGTATCAGGTGAATGAATATATGATGCCAAAGGCAAGCACTGATTCCAGCTTTTACTATAAATCCAATATCATCCCCCTGTTATGAAACACCAGCATTTCTCACAGGGACTACTGCAAATTCCTCCTATATCTATGTAATGAGACTTTGTAATTTAAAAATAAAATAAAATGAAAACCTGCTTTATTTTGTTTGGAGTGGGGAAAGAAGGAAATGCTTGCCTTGCTTAATCGGTCTAATTTTGTTTCAGCCCTGGGCAGCTCCATTACAGAAAACGTATAGCTAATCTGCAGACACACAGTTTAATTCAGTGGCAAATTCAGGGTAATTTGAAGAACTATTTTTATTTGCCCTCTTTGTTTAGACACCAACAGCTTACAACCATGGTGAGTTAACTTCCTCTATGGCAGTACTTCCTCTCCAGCATTGACACAAGCTGGTGAATGGTTATACAACTGGGCAAGAAAGAAGCAGAAGAAAAATCTCCTGAATATGTCTGCAGTTCAGACACAAGCCAGTTTAAGAATGTATTGTTTCATTACAGTGAGTACATGATAAAATGCCTTCAGGTCAGTGCAACAGGAAGTACTCTAGTGAGATTAGAAACAAATAAGAATAAAATCCCAATGAGCATAAAGAGGTCTTTAGTCAGCAAAATATGTTTGCTTTTGCTATCAATACTATTTGCTCATAGGCAAAATGTACAAAATTGGGAATCACACCATATCTAGTAAAAATGAGAAACGTTCACTATTGATGAGTTAAGTAGCATTCTGCATTCCTGTTTTTTTAAAAAAAACTTTTAATGGAATTAATTTCCTCTAAGAATACTTTTTACATTTTCAAGCTAGAAGAACATTTATTTCTGAATGGATGGAATTTTTTTTTCAAAATAATACTTGTCTAAGAATTCAACTGGAGTAAATACGGTGTACACTCCCACCCATACATTTTGATATCTTTCCATAGTTTCCCTTTTTCCTTCTTGCCTCAGCGGAAGCCCTGTTTAACTAAAGATAAGAGATCCATCAATGGCTCCCTCCTTTCAAACTTCAAACTGACTTACTCATATGAAGCAACATTTTCAGCATCTTCAACTTCAAACTTGGAAAGTCGTGCTAACACACTTTAGCCACCAAAAAAAAAGCAAAAATATATCATTAGATATTTGCTACACAAAATAGTGATGAAAAATATATTTGAATAGCAAGAATCCCATGAATCTAAAGGATATAGTAAACATGACTTAGCTCACTGGAAGACCTAATATTTAAGAGAGAAAATTACAATCATTAACCAGAAACTCTTTCCTCATGGATACTCCCAACACTGAATTTTGCATATTTTTATCTTCTTTTCTCTCTCTGTCTCTTTCTATATATATGCATATAAAGATATATAAAAGAATATGTATATGGATATATAATATATAAATAATATGTGTGTAGACATATCTCAAAGACATTGTGGGTTTCATTCCAGACCACTGCAATAAAGCAAAAACTGCATTAAGCAACTCACACAAATGTTTTGGGTTCCCTGTGCATATAAAAGTTATGTTTACCCTACATGTAGCCTGTTAAGTTTGCAATGGCATTATGTTCGAAAAACTTATGTATATACCTTAATTAAAAACTACTTTATTGGTTAAAAAATGCTAATGATCACCTTTTGCTGGTGGAGGGCGTTGCCTCCATGTTCATGGCTGCTGACTGATCAGAGTGGTGGTTGCCAATGGTCAGAGTGGCTGAGACAATTTCTTAAAATAGGACAACAATGAAGTTTGCTGTAGCAAATGGCTCTTCCTTTCACAAGTGAGGATTAAGTGGTGAAGCCATCAGGTCCTGGACTTTGTTGAAAGCCTTTTTATTACTGATTCAATCTCATTACTTGTTTTTGGTCTGTTCAGGTTTTCTATTTCTTCTTGGTTTAGTCTTGGTAGGTCGTATGGGTCAAGGATTTTGTCCACCTCCTCTAGGTTTTCAAATTTATTGTAGAGTTGCTCATAATAGTCTCTAATAATTATTTTTATTTCTGTCATTATCTGTTATGAGGTCTCTTTTTTTTTGTTTCTGATTTTACTTATTTGGGTCTTCCCTTTTTCTTAATTAGTCTAGCTAATGGTTTGTTGATATTTTTTAAACCTTTTTGTTGTTAACCTTTTGTAATTTTTGCCTCAAATGTGTTTATTTCTGTTTGGTCTTCATTATTTATTTCCTTTTAATAATTTGGGGTTTGGTTTGTTCTTACTATTCTAGTTTCTTGAGGTAGAATTGTTCAGTGGTTTATTTGAAAGTTTTCTAGTTTTTTTGATCCAGGCATTTATTGCTAAAAATATACTTTTTTTTTTATACTTTAAGTTCTAGGGTACATATGCACAATGTGCAGGTTTGTTACATATGTATACATGTGCCATGTTGGTGTGCTGCGCCCATTAACTCGTCATTTACATTAGGTATATCTCCTAATGCTATCCCTCCCCCCTCCCCCTACCCAACAACAGGCCCCAGTGTGTGATGTCCCCCTTCCTGTGTCTGAGTGTTCTCATTGTTCAATTCCCACCTATGAGTGAGAACATGTGATGTTTGGTGTTTTGTCCTTGCGACAGTTTGCTGAAAAAATGATGAGTTCATGTCCTTTGTAGGGACACGGATGAAGCTAAAAACATAGTTCTTAATAACTGCTTTTGCTGCGTCCCCTGTTTTGGTATATTGTGTTTCTAGTTACATTTGTTTCAAGGAATTCTTAAATTTCATTCTTAATTTCTTTCTTCACTCACTGTAACTCAAGGGCATGTTGTTTAATTTCCATATGTCTGTATAGTTTTGAATGTTCCTCTTGTTATGAATGTCTAGTTTTATTCCATTGTGGTAAGATAAGATACCTGATAGAATTTCAATTTTTAAAAATTTGTTGAGACTTGTTTTGTAGCCTAACATATGGTCTATCTTAGATAATGTTTCATGTGCTGATGAAAAGAATGTGTATTCTGCAGCTGTTAGGTGAGATGTTCTGTACATGTTTGTTATTTATGTCCATTTGGTCTATGGTGGAGTTTAAGTCTGATGTTTCTTTGTTGATTTTCTGTCTAGATGATTTGTCCAATGCTGAGAGTGGGATACGGAAGTGCCCAACTCTTATTGTAATGGGGTCTATCTCCCTCTTTAGATCTAGTAATATTCGCTTTATATATCTAGGTGCTCTGGTGTTTGAGTGCATACATATTTACAATTATACACATATTACAATTATATTTCTTGCTGAATTGAACCCTTTATTATTACATAATAATCTTGTTTGTCAATTTTTATGGTTTTTAACTTGAACTCTGTTTTGTCTGATACAAGTATAGCTATCCCTGCTCACTTTGGGCTTCCATTTGCATAGAATATATTTTTCCATCCCTTTATTATCAGTCTATGTGTTTCTATACCGGTAAAGTGAGTTTCTTTTAGATAAAATATAGTGGGGTCTTATTTTTTAATCCACTCAGTAAGTCTATATCCTTCATGGGGTATTTAATCTATTAACATTCAAAGTTATTATTGGTAGGTGAGGAGGTTTTGCATGTTTTCATGATGGTGGTTATCATCTTTTTACTTCCAGATGTAAGACTCCCTTGGGCATTTCTTGTAATGTTGGTCTAGTGGTGATGAATTATCTTGGTTTTTGTTTATCTATGACAGATTTTATGTCTTCTTCATTTGTAAAGGATAGCTGTGCTGGCTATAATATTCTTGGCTGAAAGATTTTTTTCTTTCAGAACTTCGAATGTATCATCCCATTCTCTTCTAGCCTAAGGTTTCCACTGGGAAATCAGCTGTTAGTCTAATGGGGATTCCATTATAAGTGTGTTACTTTTCTCTTGCTATTTTAAAAAATCTTTGTCTTTTGATTTTTCACAATTTGACTATAATGTCTGGGTTGAATGTATTTGGGGTTCTTTGATCTTCCTGGAACTAGATGTCTAGCTCTCCCTCAAGAGTTAGGAAGTTTTACGCTATTTTATTAAATATGTTTTCCTCATATTTTCTCTACTCTTTTCCTTCTGGAATGCCCATAATATGAATATTTGACCAAATTAATGGTGTCCCATAAATCCTGTAGGCTTTTTTCATTCTTTTTTATCCTTTTTTTGCCTGTCTGTGTTATTTCAAAAGACTTGTCTTCAAGTTCAGAAATTATTTCTTCTGCTTGTTCTTGTCTGTAAAGCCATTGATTGTATTTTTTCATTTCATCCATTGAACTGTTTAGCTCTTAGGGCTTCTGTTTGGTTATTTTTATGATATCTGTATCTTTACTGAATTTCTCTTTCACCTGATTTCATTGACTTGTCTATCTGTATTACCTTACATCTCACTGAGTTTCCTTAAGATTATTCTTTTTTCTGTCACATCATATGTTTATGATTAGGTTCTATTACTGGATAATTATTATTTCCCTTTGTAGGTGACATGTTTTCTTGCATTTTCATGGTTGCTGTGTTTCTAAATTGATTTCTACGCATCTGGTGAAAAAGTCACCTTTTCCAATTTTATGGAGTAAAATTGTATGAATTTATTTGTATGAATGGGTCTTGGATGTCAGTTCATTGGGGTATACCGGCCTTGGTTCTACATGGATGCAGTAAGTGTAGTCTCCATGTAGTTTATTCAGCTGTGATCCACACTAGTAACATTTGCAAGTTACTCAGTGGCCTAGGTTAAGGAAGTTTGTAGTGATGGTGGTGCAGCCTTGCCAGGGGTGGGCTCACTGGGCTGTTTCTCAGGGTAAGGGTGTGTGCAGGCATAGAGTGGGTCAGAAAACTTGGAGTATGGCTTTATGCCGCTGGCCATGGTGCCATCACTCTAGCCAGAAGCATGGGGATGCAGTTGCTCAACCAGGGCATGACTTCCAGATGTGCTTTGCAGGACAGTTTCTCAGGCCCAGGATGCAGGCACACAGCTGTTTGCCTGGCCTGGAAGCATGCACTCCAGGAGTGGCCTGAAGGGCTGTTTCCCATAACTGGTATGTGGGTACACAGCTGCTCATCTGGCCTGGGGCCAGTCTGCTGGGGGAAACTCATGGACCAAATATATAGGTGCATAGCTGCTAAGCTGGACTGAAGGTATCTTTGCCAGGGCTGGCCAAGAGGGGTGTTTCTCAGGCCTGGGATACAGTCAAATGACTTCTCAGCTGTCCTGGATATGTGTCTGCTGGGGGTAGTCCATAGAGCTATTCTAGCTCAGGATGTGTGCACACTGCTGCTCAGCTGGCCTGGGTGGTGCCTGCCAGGGGAAGCCCTGGGGACTACTTCTGTGAGCCAGGATGTGGACACGAGGCTGCTCGGCTGGCCTAAGGGCATGTCTTCTGGGAGTAGCCCATGGAGCTCTTTCTTAGGTCCAGGACATGGGCATTCATGGCTGATTGGCTGGTCTGGAGGTGCATCTGCTGGGAATGGATACAGGACTATTTCTCAGGCTCACCCAAGGTTGCACAGCTGCTTAGTTGGCCTGGGAGTGTTTCTGTGTGGGGTGGCCTAAAGGGCTGTTCCTCAAGCTGGGACACAGGTATATGGCTGCTTAGTTGGCCTGAGTAAGCTCCCAGGGTTGTTTCTCGGCCCTGAGACTTGGGCATACACAGTTGCTTGTCTCTCAGGTCTGAGATACAGGTGCAAGGCCCACTCGGTGGTGTGCCTGCTGGGGGCAGCCTGTGGGACTGTTTCTCAGGCCCTTATTAAAAGCAGAGGGCTACTGGGCACGCCAGGAGCATGTCTGTGGTTGATGGGGCCCGCAAGGCTGTTTCTCAGGTCCTGAGCATGGGCTCATAGTCACTCTGTTGACCTGTGGGTGTATCAGCTGCTCAGAGGCTTAGGGGCCTCTCCCACTTGGGAGAGGGCATGTAGTGGTTTGGCTGTCTTAAGAGTGAATTTACCCTGGATGGGACTGCAGATTATTCCTCTGTCTGGAAGTGTGGTGGTGGGGGTTGATTTCCCTGCTCTGCATTACTTGAGTTACAGCCAGTCCTGGGACCAACCTCCACACAGCTGGGATTGTGGCTTTAACCCACCCATGTGGGCTTGGTGTACTGAAGATAAAGCTCCAGTGCTGGAGAGGCACAGTGGCTACTGGCCCCCAGAGGAGGGCACACTCAAGAGATGACTCTGTTCTCCAGATGGTGCTGTGTTGCTGCAGCTTAAGCCTCTGGGGGTGGGAAGTCTTCACCTTGTACTCCTAGTCCAGGACATGCAGCTGTGTCAATTCTTGGCAATACTCCAAACTGGCCTGAGGGCTTGCAAAGACTGTGAGATTCTCCTGTTGTAAAGACTTTGTGTTTGTGATGGCAGTGGGGCTGGTGGGGATCTTCTGCCTACCTTCACCCTGCAATGAGAAGTCCCTCCTGTCTCTGGGCCAATTCAATCCAGATGGGGCAGAAGGGGCTGCACAGGCTGAGTGCTTCCATGCTGTGGCAACTTTCAGTCACCACAGATGTGTCTCCACTCCTTTGCTGCACTCCAGGACTATCCCTTTGATACTCTAATCAAATCTCAGATGTGTATTTCTTGCCTCGGTTCTTTCTTGTAGGGGAGATGAGCACCAGACATCTCTAGTCACCCATCTTGCTTGATTTAGCATAATTCGCACGGGCCCCAGGATTTTCAGAATAGTCAATGATTGTTGGCTTCAACTTAAAGTCACCAGCTTCATTAGCCCCTAACAAGAGAATTGGCCTGTGCTTTGAAGATTTGAAACCATGCGTTGACTTCTCCTCTCTAAATATAAAAGTCCTAGATGGCATCTTCTTCCAATAAAAGGCTATCTTGTCTACATTGAAAATGTGTTGTTTAGTTTGGCCACATTCATCAGTTATCTCACCTAGATCTTCTGGATAACTTGCTGCTGCTTCTGCATCGGCACTGGCTGTTTACCTTGCACTTTTA
The DNA here is from genome assembly GCF_000001405.40 of Homo sapiens. NCBI lineage: Eukaryota > Metazoa > Chordata > Mammalia > Primates > Hominidae > Homo > Homo sapiens. The sequence continues at coordinate 10,546,863 of NC_000021.9, read as the reverse complement.
TGTGATGGAGATGGCTTCTTTCCTTAAACCTCATGAACAAACCTTTTAGCGTCAAGCTTTTCTTCTGTAGCTTCCTTACCTCTCCCAGGCTTCACTGAATCAAAGAGAGTGAGGGCCTTGTCCTGGATTACGCTTTGGCTTAAGGGAATGCTGTGGCCGGTTTGATCCTTTATCCAGACCACTACAACATTCTCCATATTAGCAATCAGACTGTTTTGCTTTCTCAACATTTGTATGTTCACTGGAGTAGCAGTCTTAATTTTCTTCAAGAAGTTTTTTGACTTTTCTGTTTTGTTTTGTTTTTGTTTTTGTTTTACATTCACAACTTGGCTGAAGTGGTGCAAGAAGTCTAGCCTTCCTCACAATCATTTCTAGCTTTTGGTTTAAAGTGAGAGACATGTGACTCTTCCCTTCACTAGGACACTCAGAGACCATCATAGGCTTACTAAATGGCTTACTTTCAATATTGTTGTGTCTCAGGGAATAGGGAGGCCCAAGGAGAAGGAGAGAGATGGGGGAATGGCTAGTCAGTGGAGCAGTCACAACAAACATGTCATTGATTAGGCTTGTCATCTTAATATGGACATGGTTCGTGTTGCCCCAAAACAATTACAATAGTAACATCAAAGATCACTGATCACATATCACCATAACAGATATGATAATAAAAAGTTTGGAATACTGCAAGAATTATTAAAATGTGACAAGAGACACAAAGTGAGAACACGCTGTTGGAAAAATAAAACCAGGAGACTTGCTCAATGTAGGGTTGCTACAAACCTTCAGTTTACAAAAAAGTAATATCTGAGGGGCAATAAAATAAAGCACAATAAAACAAGATATACCTGCATATACACACACATATATGTATATATAAACTATATATGTGTATATATACATATATATGCTAAAGGATATATACATATATGTTTACATATATATACACAGATGCTCATATATATATTAAAGGATATATACATGACTACTGATGTTATTTGGGTTAGTGCTAAAGAATATATCTATATATAGATATGTATATATAGATATATATACACACATTTAAATATGCACATATGTAGACATGTATATAGATATGTGTATCTATATCTATATACACACAAATACATATTTATATATCTATATATATTACATATATAGCTAAAAGATATATCTGTATATATACACACACACACATATACATGTGTGTTATATGTGTGTGTGTGTGTGTAGATAGATCCTTTAGCACTGACCCAAATTAATAATGTCAGTAGTTTTCAATGACACCACCATTGAAAGGTGAGTTATATCAAATATATATCAAATTAGTGAAAGACTACTGATGTCATTTTATCCGGGCCAGTGCTAACGATTAAAAATGTACACTTCAGGTCAAGTGACTTCAGAGACATACTTTTCTGGTTGAAATTATGTACATTTGCTCTACATTTATAAACTGGCTGAATCCTCAAAATGTGTATGTCAATGATTTGGAATCTACTATTAATATATCATTTTTTCCTAGAAGAAAACCTTATATTATGTAAAGGTGCTCCTGGGCCTTAACAAACAAACTAATGAATCACAATTTAAGTGCAGTTCTGTATTACTTCATTTGTGAATGAATTTTACCAATCTTAATATATGCCTCTCTTCTTTCTCTCCGTATTTTGAAATTTCACCCATCATTGATGACTCTACCACACATTACTCTTTTTAATTCAATGAGGTAATAGCTAAAGGATTAAAAATGAACATAGCAAGACTCCACATGTTATCCTAGACTTAATTTTCTGACACAAATTAGCAATAATTATTCCACAATTTATAATCTAGTTCCCCTGAAAAACGGACATTAATCAGTTATTTATTTGAAACATGGTATTTAATTTTTCTCTGGAAACGAGGTTTTAGATGTTTGTAATGAAATTTTTCGGCCTGTGAAAAAAACTTAATGAATCAAGTTTATATACATTTCTTTACTCCTAAACCTAATCCCCAAGTTACTGTTTCTGGCAAAATTTACATAAAATCAACTTCAGTTTGTAAACACCCACCTTGCTCGCCCTTGTAATTTTCTGCCTTCTCATGTTCAAATACCTCCAGTAACTCTTCACCAATCATGGATGTCTTTCCTGCCCCTCAGATAGGGTTAAGTAACTACAGACCCAATGCAGGGCCTCCATACAATCTGATGGCTCATGACCGTAAACCCAGCAGTTTGGGAGGCTGAGGCGGGTGGATCACGAGGGCAGGAGTTCAAGACCAGCCTGGCCAATATAGTGAAACCCCGCCCCTACCAAAAATACAAAAAATTTGTCTGGCATGGTGGCACATGACTGCAGTCCCAGCTACTCAGGAGGCTGAGGCAGGAAAATCACTTGAACCCGGGAGATGGAGGTTACAGTGAGCCGAGATCACGCCACTGCACGCCAGCTTGGGCAACAGCGAGACTTCATCTCAAAAAATACAATAATAATAGAAATACATTTTAATTCGCCCATGCCTCCAACGTCCTATAAAATAAATTCTTTTAAAAATTTATTTATTGGCTTAAAAATCAATACTACATACAAAACTCACATGCTATTGCTTAATGAGCAACTACAGAATTCTCACCTAGATGTTTCCTTAATCAGCCACTGATTAAACACAATCCTTTTATTCCTTCTGTAAAATCTCATTTTGCAAGGTTTCTTGAGCATTACACTATAATTAACTTGAATCAGGTTTTCCATATTACTTACACCTTTATGATTTATTTCCAGGAGAGGTTTTCACATGACTGGGAAAACCCTCCACCACCTCCTTCCTTTCACTGATCATGCTAGTCTCTCCTGCCCATGAGACACAGTGAAGTACCCGCACACCTGAGGAAAGCGGCATCCAATGAGGTGGTGGGTTTGGGCTGGGTCTAGGCACCAACCTCACATGTGGACAGAGCTCTCGAGTGTGTGGGACAAGTCCATGTTCCATTAGCTCCATTCTTTTTTTCCCAGGGCTTCACTACTCCTTATTGGCTGCTATCTCCTCCATGTTGCAAATAGGATTCTCTCCTTTCTTGGAACACTATGGTAGGGTCTCAAACTCAGGAAACCTGAATCCCTTAAAAAATTGCCTACCAGAAATTGAGGGTGACAAATACACTAACAGGAAGAAGCAGCTCTCCTACGAACTGACCTCCTTATACAACTCCATCAAAAAAAGGTGCAAAGTTATCTACAAATGCTACAATGAGAAGAATTGGAAACCCTGTTAAAAAACACTCTGTATGGCCATGCAGGCTCCTGAGAGTAAATTCCACAAATGTCCATCTGTCTCCGTGTTTTGTGTTTCCATTTTGTGCATGGGTTTGTTTGTGTAAATGTGTTGACAAAAGTGTGTATGGATGAAGATGGATGGATATATTTGTGTATGTGCTTGGTGTGTGTATAGCTCTATGCACTCTTATGCATACGTGTGTCTTCATGTATTTATAACTCACCTTTCACTGATAGGTGACACCCGGGCTGCTCCTTTAAATTCACTTGTGTGTGGGCTAGAGGATGATAAAAGAATACAGTCAGCAGCACTTTGGGAGGCCGAGGCGGGTGGATCATGAGGTCAGGAGATTGAGACCATCCTGGCTAACAAGGTGAAACCCCGTCTCTACTAAAAATACAAAAAAAAATTAGCTGGGCGCGGTGGCGGGCGCCTGTAGTCCCAGCTACTCGGGAGGCTGAGGCAGGAGAATGGCGTGAACCCGGGAAGCAGAGCTTGCAGTGAGCCGAGATTGCGCCACTGCAGTCCGCAGTCCGGCCTGGGCGACAGAGCGAGACTCCGTCTCAAAAAAAAAAAAAAAAAAAAAAAAAAGAATACAGTCAGATAGGAGACGCGATTCTAAATTTACTTTTTTGGAAAATTAGCTTTTATTACTCTAGACAGAAACCAATGAATTCCTATCAGAAATCTGAGTCCCATAAAAAAACTGCTTAGTAGGAACTAAGGGTGGCAAATACATTACAGGAAGAAGCAAATCTCCTACGACCTGCTCCTTTTTATAGAGCTCCACCAAAGAAGGATGCAAAGTTACTAACAAATGCTACAATGAGACGAATTGGAAACTCTGTTAAAAAAAAAAAATCTCTATGGCCATGCAGGCTCCTGAGAGTAAATTCCACAAATGTCCACCAGTCTCCTTTCTCTTTGGTCTATGTTTCCATCATGTGCATGGATTAGTTTGTGTAAGTGTGTTGAAGAGACGTGTGGATGGATGGATGAATGGATGGATGGATGAATGGATGGATGGATGGATGGATGGATGAATGGATGGATGGATGGATGGATGGATGGATGGGGTATACTTGCTCATGTGCCTGTGTGTGTATAGTTCTATGCACACTTATGCTGACGGGTGACTTTAACTATTTATTGCTCACCTTTCTTTCGCAGGTGCCTCCTCGGTTGCTCCTTTAAATTCACTTGTCTGTGGACTAGTGGATGATAAGAGAAAACAGTCAGAGAGGAGACATAATTCTGAATTTATATTTTGGAAAAATTACCTTTCATTACTCTAGACAGAAACCAATTAATTTCTGACTATTCATGTGTATAGTACTACTGGAACCTGGAATGTCTTTTCCTCTTTATTAGCAATGAGGATTTATATGGCGACAACCAAAATCTTAGGCGGGGGAAAATAGTAATGCTTCCCGATTTAAGTAAACCTCTTTATTATGACCTCAGTCCCAATGTGTGACAGACTTTGTGGTGGTAGTTATTTCAAACTCAACTCCAATTTGTAGGTAGTCAGCCCTCTTATTCCATTCAATGTCCTGCTTAAAAGGCCCTCCATTAGCTCCTTATGTTCACCCAGCATGGTGGTTTCTCATGTCCCACAAAAAGGGTCAGGTAACTAGAGGTCTGACACAGGGGCACAATCCAATAGGATGGTGATTTTAGGTTTGGAGCACCAGCCTCTGTGGTGGCAGGGTTCTGGAGGGTGGTGAACACCTCCAAGGCTCATAGCTCTGTTGCTTTCTGCTGAAGGCTTCACAGTTCCCCAAGTACTCCTACCTCCTCCTCACTCCAAACAGGATTCTCTCTTCCCTGGGCCTACTCTGGTATGTCTGGTACACAGAAAATCTGCTTTTCCAAAGCATTTGCCTGCTACTTACTAAGGGTGACAAGACAGTAACAGATGGAAGCCTCTCTCTCTAGTCAGTTTCTTTTTTTCTAAACAATGTAAAAATGTGGAAGTTATCTATACATGATACAGGGAGATGATAAAGAACCTGTGTCAAAGAAACACTGTATTATCAGGAACACATCTGAGAGTTAATCCCACTAATCTCGGTCTCTTTCTCTGTCACTGTTTTGTGTGTGTGTGTGTGCATCTTTTTTTTTTTTCATTTTTGCAACAGTTTCGCTCCTGCTGCCCAGGGTGGAATGCAGCGGCATGTTCTCAGCTCACTGCAAACTCCACTTCCCCAGGTTCAATCGATTCTCCTGCCTCAGTCTCCTGAGTAGCTGGGATTAGAGGCACCTGCCACCACACCTGGCTAGTTCTTGTAGTTTTAGTAGAGACAGGGTTTCACGATGTTTGCCAGCCTGGTCTCGAACACCCGACCTCAGGGTATCGGCCTGCTTCAGCCTCCCAAAGTGCTCAGATTACAGGTGTGAACCATTGCACCTGGTCATGTGTACATCTTTTATAACTCACCTGTCATTGGGGCCGAGCTCAATGATGACTCCCGCCAGGTCAGTCGGATCAGGACTAAAGGACAAATATGGTCAGAGTCAGACCCAATGCGTAATTCTAATGTTTTGCAACAAATAGCTACAGTTAGTCTATGTGTCATTCCCCAGTTACACTTTTATTATTCACATGTATGTATATCACTAAATTGACCTGGGATGGCATTTGTCTTTTTATTAGAAATGAGGTTTCATATGCCAACAGTGAGCATTTTAGGCTGTGACCATAGCGATGCATGCAGATTAAGTAAGGGTATCTACACCTCAAGGTGTAACAGCATTTTTGGAGAGCATTTAATTCTAGTTCAAATTTAGTTCCTGAGTCTCCCTTCTTATAATCCCATTTGAGTTCCTCATTCTCTATCACCTCCAATCACCTCCTCACTTTTCACCCATCCTAGTTGTCTCTCCTGCCCAAGAGTTGCGGCCAAGTAGCTGGAGGCCTCAAGCAAGGGCTCCATCCCATGTGAGAGTGGGTATGGGCAAAGGCAGTCAGCCTCACATAACGGTAGAGCTCTGGAGGGGGTGAAATAATTCCAGGGTTATTAGCTCTGTTCTTTGTTTTGGCTGGGATTTCTCTGATCTTTGTCCACTCCTATCTCCTTCTCCCTGCAAGCAGGATTCGCTTCTCCCTTGGTTCATGCTACTAGGAAAGTCTCATTCTCACAGAAAGGTAATGTGACAAACACTAACATAAAAAGCCTCCCTCTATGAGTTCCTCCCCATTTTCCTACCTCCATCCAAAAAACAAAACAATATTGCATACAAAGCTCATTCTGAGAGGACTCTAGAAATAGTTTCAAGGGAACTCCTTGTTCCCATGGATGCCTGTCACACTCAATAGCCCTACTCAGTCTCTCTTGTGTGTACGAATGCATGTATGTATGTGTTTGTATATGCATAGACACATGTATAACTGTATTCCTTGGTATCACATGGTGCATTGGCCAGCCTACTAGAAGGTACTCTCAATTCACACACAGGGCCGTGCCAAAGAAGTTAACATGTACATACTAAGACAACATGTAACTTCCTAGACTTAAGGTTTTCAGTTCAAAATAATTCCAATTGCTTTTGTTTTGGTTTTTTGTTTTTGTTTGTTGTTGTTGTTTTTGGTTTTTTGAGACAGAGTCTCACTCAGTCACCCAAGCTGGAGTGCAGTGGCATGATCTCGGCTCACTGCAACCTCTGCCTCCCGGGTTCAAGCAATTCTCCTGCCTCAGCCTCCCGAGTAGCAGGGACTACAGGTGCCTGCCACCACACCCGGTTAATTTTGTATTTTTAGTAGAGATGGGGTTTCACCATGTTGGCCAGGCTGGCCTTGAACTACTGATCTCGTTATCCACCCGCCCTGGCCTCCCAAAGTGCTAGGACTACAGGCCTGAGCCACCGCACCCGACCTTCCAACTACTTTTCAACCTGTAAATTGCCTTACCCTTAGAGAAGTCATGTGTGTATTTGGTTCTTTGGAATCTGCCATGCCATTTACCCTACACATCATACTTTATATGATTGCAGCACATCTATCTAAGACTCACTGACTCAAGAGTTCACCAAAACTCTGTACCACTGGAGCTGGCCAATGCACGACAGACAGCCTTTTGTGGGTGAATTTCTTTTAAATTCAACTCCACTGGGTAGGCATTCCTCCTCCTAATCCCATCTATGGCCCACTTCCTGGATCTCTCCGTCAAGTCTTTCCTTTCACCCATCATGCTAGTCTTTCCTGTCCATGGGACACAGGCAAGTAGCTGTGGGCCTAAGGAACGGCTGCATCCAATGAGGTGGTGTGCTTGTGTTTATGTTTTAGCACCAACCTCATATGTTGACAGAGCTCTGGAGTGTGAGGGACAAGTCCATGTTCCATTAGCTCTGTTCTTTTCTGCCCAGGGCTTCACTGCTCCTTGTCAGCTGCTATCTCCTCCATGTTGCAAATAGGATTTTCTCCTCCTTTCTGTCAATCTGGTAGGCTCTCAAACTCAGGAAATCTGAGTCCTTTAAGCTGCTGCTTACTAGGAACTAACAGTGACAAATACACTAACATAGGAAGCAGCAGCTCTCTTATGACCTGCTCCTTTTTATATCACTCCGTTAGAAAAGGAAGCAATGTTACCTACAAAGGCTACTAGGAGAAGAATTGGAAATCCTGTTAAAAACCACTCTCTATGGCCACGCAGGCTTCCCAGAATAAACTCCACAAATGTCCGGCCGTCTGTCTCCTTGTTGTATGTTTCCACTGTATGCATGGATTTGTTAGTGGATGTGTTTGAGAGAAGTGTGTACGGATGGATGCATGGATGGATGGATGGATATATTTGTTTATGTGCCTGTGTCTGTGAATACTTCTATGCTCAGTTATAATTCGATAAATAAAGACACACGTACGCATAACTCACCTTTCATTCATACGTGCCTCTGGGTTCACTCCTGATAATTCATTTGTGGGTGGACTAGAGGATGTCAAAAGAATATAGTCAGACAGGAGACACAATTCAAAATTTACTTTTCTGGTAAAACTAGCTTTCATTAATCTGCACATAAACCAGTTAAGTTCTGACTATTCATGTGTATAGCACTATTTGGTTCTGAAATGTCATTTTTTAATTAAAAAGGAGGATTTATATGATGGCAACCAACATCTTAGGCTGGGGAAAATAGTAATGCTTTCAGATTTAAATAAACCTCTTTATTATGACCTCAGTCCCAATGCGTGACAGCCTTTGTGGTGGCAGTTATTTCAAACTAAACTTTTGTGTGGAGGTAGTCAGCCCTCTTATTCCACTAAATGTGCTGCCTCGAAAGCCCTCCATTACTTCTTCACTTGATTGTCTCTGTTGGTCCACAAGTACGGTAAAGTAACTGCAGGTCTGAGTCAAGCACACAATCCAATATGATGGTATTTGGGGTTTTGAGTACCACCCTGTATTGTGGCAGAGTTCTGCAGGGTCAAAAACATTTCTAGGGTTGTTAGCTTTTTTCTCTTCTCCTGAGGTCTTCACTACTCTCCGTCCCTGCTGTCCTTTCCTGTTTCCAAAGAGGATTCTCTGCTGTCCTCAGCCATTATAGTAAGGTCTCACATATAGGCAGTCTGAAAATTAGTTTTTATTTTTACTCAAGAGTATCAAACAGACTAGTAAGAAAAATCATTCTTCTTTTTATGTGGTCATCTTTTATCTAAATTCATTCAAGACATAAAGTCACCTTCATATCCTATAGTGAGATCATGCAGACACATGTGTCAAAGTTTTTTGTTTTTCCATTAATGCCCTTGAATGGGAACTTCCCTAATCTCAACCTTTATATTTCTCTGCTGTACCTGTGGGTGCATGCCTTGATTTAATATGAATGCATATAGGTATATATAAATGGTATATAATCGTTTCCTCCCTTGTTCATATATCCTTATATCTATATTGATTTATTTCTTTTTCTTTTTTCTTTTTTTTTTTTTTTGAGGGGGAGTCTCGCTCTGTTGCCCAGGCTGGAGTGCAGTGGCAGGATCTCGGTTCACTGCAAGCTCCACCTCCCGGGTTCACGCCATTCTCCTGCCTCAGCCTCCTGAGTAGCTGGGACTACAGGCACCCGCCACCACACCCGGCTAATTTTTTGTATTTTTAGTAGAGACGGGGTTTCACCGTGTTAGCCAGGATGGTGTCGATCTCCTGACCTCGTGATCCACCCACCTCGGCCTCCCAAAGTGCTGGGATTACAGGCGTGAGCCACCACGGCCAGCCTCTATATTATTTCTGTCTCACAGTTCACTGACAGCTCCATTCCAGGGTACTGATTTGAATTTAGACTTGGCAGTGCTACAGAATTTAAATATATATATGTATCGTCCAACACCAATATGACATTCTGGACTTCACTTTCTGGTTTGAATTACTCACAAGCGATGTTTAGTTCTTTACAATTGAATACAGCACAAACTAAGCATTTGATGGTTTACTTTATTTCAAATTCAGCTGCAGTTTCTATATACAAATCCCCTTGACCCCATCTCATTTCCTGACACTAAAATCCCTTCATGAGTGCCTTGTTTTTGCCATTATAGGTGTCTTCTCTGCTCTCACACAGGGTCAAGAAACTGCCCCATACAATGTGATGATGGGTGTGGGCTTGTAGTGTTAGCCTCACATGGTGGTAGAGCTCTGGGTGTGAGGAACCCTGCCAGGGCCATTAGCTCTGTTTGTTTTCCCTAAGGGCCCCGCTGCTCCCTGTCCACTGCTACTCGCTTGTTGCTCTGCATAGGGTTTTCTTCCCTTGGTCCACTCTAGTATGTCTCATACACAGGAAATCTGACTTTCCTAAGTATGTGCCTGCTACTAAGGGTGACAAGACAATAACAAGAAGTTTCCCTTTTTTGCCCTGTTCCTTTTTTATCCAATTTAATCAAAAAGTTGGATAAGGGGCCTGCAGGGCCTATAGTTAGGAGGTTTATAAACAGTGTAAAAGACATTCTGTATGGCCATAGATGATCCTGAGCGCAAGCACATAATCTTCATCTTTCTCTCTGTCGATTCTCTCTCTCTTTTCTCTTTCTCTCCCTTTCTCTCTCTCCCTGTGTTTGTGTGTCTAGATAGACAGAAGTATGTATATCTGCATATATATTTCTTTAAATATTTGTGTATATATATTTTATAATTCACATTTCATTGGTGGTTCTATCATAGGTCATTGATGTCAATTCTGTATGCAGGCTAAAGGAATATAAAAGTAGATAGTTGGACACACATGTAATTCTAAACTTACTTTTTGAATCAAACAGCTACAGTTACTCTACAATGTACTATCTGGTTGACATTTAAATATTCATGTGTATATCACTAATTTGAACTAGGTGTATCCTTTTTTTTAGGCGGAGTCTCACTCTCACCGAGGCTGGAGTGCAGTGGAGCCATCTTGGCTCACTGCAACCTCCACCTCCCAGGTTCAAGCAATTCTCCTTCCTCAGCCTCCTGAGTAGATGGGATTACAGGCATGCACCACCACACCTGGCTAATTTTTGTATTTTTAGTAGAGACAGGGTTTTGCCATGTTGGTCAGGCTGGTCTCAAATTCCTGGCCTCAAGTGATCTAGCTGTCTTGGCCTCCCAAAGTGCTGGGATTACAGATATGAGCCACCATGCCTGGCCAGTGGCATTTATTTCTAATGTAACTGCAGTCTGTAAGGAAACATGCCTCTTACCCCATCTAAATTCTTGATTCCTAAGTCCTTCTGTCACTTCTTTACTTTCACCCATCATGGCTGTCTTTCTTGCCCAGAAGATATGACCATGTAGCTGTAGGCCTGAGTCAGGAACTCCCTACAAAATGATTGTGGGTTTGGGTTTGGGGCACCAGCCTCACATGGTGGTAGAACGCTAGAAGGTGAGGAACCCATTACGGTTTCATGAACTCTGTTCTTTTTGCTGAGTGCTTCACTCCTCCGTCACCTGTTACCTCCCCATTGCTCCAAATAGGATTCTCTCTCCCTTTGGCCCACTCTAGTAGTAGGAGAGTCTCATAAATGGAAAACCTCAGAGGTTCCTAAGGGATTGGATACTACTAACTTAGAGTGACAAATATACTAAGAGGAAGAAGCATCCCTTTCATGACTTCATCCTCTTTTATCCAATTTGGTCTGAAAAAAAAAATAGAAGGTTATCTATAGATCCTACAGTGAGAAGATTTAGACATAGTGTCAAAGATATTCTGTATTTCCAAGGATATGCCTGACAGTGAATTTTACAAATATCAACTTCTCTTTCTCTTTCATTGTTTTATGTTTCTGTGTGTGTATGTGTATGCATGCGTGTATGTTATGTGTATATATGTATATATACACTTACTTGTATATAAATCCTTGTTTCTAATTCACATTTCATGGGTGGCTCTATCATAGGTTACTACCATCAACTCAATTGGCTGTGGGCTGGGGAATTATAAAAGCATATTACTCAGATACAAACACAATTTGGACTTACACTTTTGGTCAAATAGCTGCAGTTACTCTAGACAAGAGTCTACCTGCCAAGGAATGCCAAAGATTGCCAGCAACCAGAAAAAGCTAGCAAAGAGGTATCAAACAGATTCTTCCTTATAGCCTTCATAAAAAGCCAACCCTACTGACAACCTCAATTTCAGATTTCTAGTCCCTAGGACTATGAGATCATTAATTTTTGTTTAAGCCACTTGGTTTGTGATACTTTTTTAAAGCAGCCCTAGAAACTAATATAGCCTAACCTGGTAGAATCTCATACACAGGCAATCCAACAGTTTTCTGAAAGTTTTAGCTACTAGTCAACTCAGCTAGGAAGAAGTAGACTTCTTGTGATCTACTTATCTTGTATCCAACTAGACCCAAAAAGAAAAGGATGTTACATACAGAAGCTGAAACTACCAGTACTTCAGAAACAGTGTCCAAGAAACTCTATAGTTAACATTTGTGTGTATCTTTATGAACATACACACACATAACACCTTTCACTGATGGCTCCATTATAGGCTAGTGATATCATTTCACTTTCACTGAGGACTCCATCATGGTTTAGTGATATCACTTCATTTGGGTCAGAGCTAAAGAATTAAACTAAATTGTACATAATCAAATACCATGTGAATTTGTAGGCTTAATTTTTATTCAAATTAGCTACAATAACCCTACAACTAATAAACTAGCTGTTCTAAAAAAAACAAAACAAACAAAACACATGCAATTTAGCCATTTGGAAACAACAGTGACCATCCCTGCCTGTCTCCATAGACAATAACAGCAACTACCCAGGAGTAGTTACAGTAAAATTAGGAGAGCATTAGGCTGGCTGATGAAAACAGGGAAGGGCTGAAGAGCCATCCTTGGGCCTTCACTCCTCCACCTGCCTACATCTCCAAAGCCCAGGTTACAAACCAGAGAGACTGTCTCCTCCAATGCTGCTTTGTTCAGGAGCTTCAAGGTGATATAGTTGTTTAATTAAATGAAATTTTCCCTGAGGTTGCCTCTGTACTTGAGTCCTTATGCAACAAACTGCAAGCTAACCTAGTGTGTAAACTAACAGCACAATTATGAATAGAATATACACTTGTAACAGATAGCTGTGTCTCAGTCAATTACAGCAGCTGAGCTTCAGTCAATTGCGGGTGGCTGACTGATTCAAATAAGACAAAACATCCAGCTGTAACCAGTTGTAAACAACAAAGCTGTTTCTGGACCTCACTTCCATTTTCTGTCCATAATGCTGTCTGGCCACATTGCCAGCTTGCAGTTCTCAGAACTTGTTCTCGTTCTAAAAGCTTCCCAACTCACGAATCATTCTTGCACTATTAAACTCTTAAATTTACCTTGTCTAAAGCTTTTCCTTTTCACAACCCAGAGGAGTTGCCTGGTCAGTGTTTCATGGTTCCTGAGACTCTCTACCCTGGGGCACATCACTTCTCTTCATTTTAAACTTACTGACAATGACACAGCTTACGTCCTAGATTTCAGTGAGACTGACTATATAATTCCTGCCCAAACCAGGACACTTTTGAAAGGAAAAAGTGGGTGCTATTAATAATTATGTTGCAAGAACAGCAGCAGACTGAGATTGTCCTTCAGTCCTTCCCCAATACAAATGACCAGAGTAGCCAATAGCCACAAAAAATCTGAGTTCACAAACCAACATGATTAGATATCTGAGGAATACAACTACTGAAAAAGAAATACAACAAGCTGAACAACAACATACCGACTGTAGCAAAACTACTGGAACACACTGACCAAGATTTTAAAGTAAGCATGACAAATATTCTTAAGGATAAGAGGACACAAAGGAAGATGTTGAAACATGAAATGAGAATGGGAGTCGTAAGAAAAAATAAAAGAGAAAGCCTTAACTGTAAAAGTATGACTGTCAAAAAATATAAATTGTTGAGGGATAAATAGTAGTTTGGATACATGTGAAAAGCTAATTAATTTAGAGTTAGAAGATTAGATTGAGAAACTTACCCAGAAAATAGTAGAAAAGAATAAAGAGAACATACTAAAGAAGAATGTTATGGAGGATAAAAACAGCTATCTAACATCTAGAATATGGAAATCTAAGAAGAAATGAAAACTAAAAATGCAAAATAAAATGTGAAAATTTATGATGATAAATTTCCCAAAATTCAAGAAAGAAGAAATATATCAGCTTTAAGTATCTAATGGAGACAAAGAGAAAATTCTAACACCTTCTAGAAACAGCAAAAGACCTATGAGGGCACAAGGACAGACCAACATCATAGCTCTCTGTACCATAAAGAAAGCTTCCACAGGATAAAGTCCACAGGATCAATATCATATTGCTATTCTCTGAATATATTGTAATATGATTAGCTTTTTTTAAAAAACCCACATTTGAAACTAAATTACACATTACTGAATGCCTCTTATGTTAAAAGGGAAATCACGAAATATTTTAAATACTAAGAACTGATTGATAATAACATGACAAAGTTTGTAGGATACAATGAAGCAATATTTAGAAGAAAATTTACCAATATATAAGCATTAATAAGAAGTCAAGATGGTTAAAAGCAAAGAGTACACATTTAAGTAGAGAGGTTGGAAAAGGAACACATGGCAAAGTCTATGGAGTAATAAGGAAGCAAAACATAAGGAGGTAAGCATAAGTCACTGAACTGGAGAAGAAAAAACCGTGGAGAAGATTAACAAAACAAAAGTGTGTATCTTTGCAAAGATTACTACAATAGACCTGTGGCAATAATAATCAAGAACAAACAGAGTGAATATCCAAATAAAATGTACAAGAAGGGAGCATAACTAGAACACAACTAAATTTTTTTAAAATAAGATTATTCAATTATATGCTAATAAATGTGAAAACTTAGATGGAATGGAAAAATTCCTAGACGGATATAAAACACTAACATTAGTGCAAGAAAATATATTTATATAGAAATAGAATACTCAAGTAACAAAGAAATCAACCTAGTATTTAAAGCCCTTCCCTCTCCCAAACACCACAGGGCCCACATAGGTATTTTTCAAAATTTTTTAGAATATTGACATACTTACTACAAAATCTATGTCAACATATAAAGGCTCCATTAATAACTTAACTAATCATGCTAATAAAAAAAGGTGTAGGGATGCCATAAGTATCAATGGACCAAAATATTGAGCTCAGAGATAAACCTATGTGGATATATGTCATTGACAATGATTACATAAACAAGGAAAAAGGATGAACTGTTTCATAGATGGTATTTGGAAAATCAGCCTACCACTGGGAGACAAATGAAACCAAATCCCCACCTAACACCATATTGAAGGGTAGACTCTAAGTAGATTAAAGCATTAAATGTGTAAATTAAAACTATGAGGATTAGAAATTACCTTTGTAGACTGAAAGTGGGAAAATTTCAAACTTCAAAAGTAAAATAATAAGGCAAAAAGTTATTTCATGAAGAGAATGAAGAACAACAATGCCAAAGCTAACAGGCAGATGACGGATTAGAGCACATAACTTCAATGTCTCAAACTGATATGAAGGATGATTTGAATACATAAAGCGATAGTCCAAACTTTTGAATGGGATTCCATGCATCTGAGTCTGTTTAGTGTTGCCATAAGGGATACCTGAGGCTGGGTAATTTATAAAGAAAAGAGGTTTATTTGGCTCACAGTTGTGTGCTGCACAAGAAGCCTGATGCCAACATCTGCTTCTGAGGCTGCTCCCATTTATGGTGGAAGATGAAGGGGAACTGACACGTGCAGAGATCAAATGGCAAGAGGGGAATCAAGGTGCGGGAAGCCGCTTGTCTCTTTTTAAACCACCAGCTCTTGCAAGAACTAATAGAGTGAGTACTCACTCACCCTCACTCCAAGGGAGGGAATTAATCTATTCATCTTCCAAACACCTTCCATTAGGCCCCACCTCCGACATTGGGGATCAAATTTCAACATACGGTTTGGGGGTACAAATCTCCAAACAATAACACCATGTTTTTAATGTTACTAAAAAGAGTGAATTCTTGCTATATTGTTTACAGATGTAACATAATCACTTTGAAAATTAAACATAATTTTAAAAGAAATTTGATTAACTTATTCTAAAATATAAAATATTCAAAAACAGCACACGTAAATTAACAAGACAAAGATAGGAACACTAGTGGAAAAACGGGCTAAGTTCATGAATGGACCATTACAGAAGAAATCCCAAATGCTATAAGAACATAAAATGATGCTCAAATTCATAAGTTATCACATAAATTCAAAGTAAAACATAATGCAATATGTTACCATCTATTAGACTGATTATATAAATTGGAAAGTTTGATAATGTCAAGTGTTGTTGTGAATGTGTATGTGTAGGAACCATCATGCATTATTCAGGAGATGCAGACTGGTATAACCATTGTGAGAGCAATAGGCAGTATTCAGTCAAATTCAAAATATGCAATCCCATGGCCCATCAAGTCCTGTTTCATATTCCTACAGAAATACTCAAACAGGTCTATAGGGGTCTGGCATAAGGATAATTATTTAGCGGCACTCTTTGTGAAGGCAAATGGTAGGAAGCAATATATGTGTTCCTCACTAGGGGATGCATGCTGTGCAATTTTTCATACCAGTTAAAAGCAACAACGAAAGGTATGCACAAGAAGAATAATCTTATGTTACTATGCAAAAAACTAACAAAATGAGATACAACTTAATACCATTTAAGTAAATTTAAAAACATATAGGCAAAACAATAATACATAGTTTACAGAACACATATAAATGTATATACTGTGTATTAAACATATTAAAATTGTTGCATATGTGCATATATCTGTATATGTCAATATGTATATCTGTACTCTCATCTAGATATTAAAAAGGCCTACAAGTAGCAATGAGCCAATGGCAATCAGCATACCAAATGCAAAATATTGATTGGTTTCTAAAGGGCATGAGGTTCTTTGGGTAAATGGCTGATTCCAGGGCTGGGGAAATGCTCAAAAAGTGATGGGAACATGTCAAGTCAAAAGGACACAGGGGCTAGCTTTTAGGGAGTCCCACTGGCCAAATATGAGACCATTTAAAGATCAAAATAAATAATGACAGAAAGGATTGTAATTCATTGAAATAATGTAAGAATTTATAAGTTCATAGTAATAGTGAACAAATAGGGGTAGGAATAGCTCTCCTTATAATAGAATGATACTTATTAAACACAGAAAAACTACTTTTTTTAAAAAAAAAATCACCATTTTGTAATGATCACAGTTACAACTGATTCACATAAAAATCAATGAATGCTAAAACTAGGGCATGAAAGTTTTATGTGGAACAGGATACTGAACATTGAAAATAGTTTTAACATAGACTGAAAGTATCTCCCCCCAACATGGATATTAATTATAAACTGAATAATATTTACTTGTCAGCGAATAAATCTGGCAATACCTCTCAACCACAATAGAGATATGAACCATAAAACAGTGTAATATTCAATAGAGGAGTTACTTAATCTGAAAGTGGTATTCAATTCCCTCATCTATCCTTTAAAAGGCCATGAAATTATTTCCTGTCATCTCATATAAAAGATGTTGTAATATTCTAAGAGCTTGCATTTAGGTTGTCTCTGAAAAGAGTCTGATGAATAACTTAACAATAAGAAAGTGAATGCTGAGATTTTAGAGTGAACAGACATTTTAATCTCACAGTCTACTTTTGTGTTAACTCACCCCTCTCACATTTCAAAAATATCTAAAAGTAGCTGTTAGACATTCTATTAAGTCCTCCTGGTGAAAATGGAAATGTTTGGATATTCCATCTTTGCATCATCTTCCTATATCCCACTTTTAAACATTTTTGGCATTGAAACTTATCCTTCAAATGAACTTTTAGATATCACACATGCTTAGTAAACTTCAAATCTGCAAGTGGTGAACAGATAATCTGCACAGGAAACACTTTTTTTTTTTTTTTTTTGAGACAGAGTTTTGCTCTGTCATCGAGGCTGCAGTGCAGCAGTGCTGTCTCAGCTCACTGCAACTTCTGCTTCCCGGATTCAAGTGATCCTTCTGCCTCAGCCTCCCGAGTAGCTGGGACTGCAGGCATGCACCACCATGCCCAGCTAATTTTTGTATTTTTAGTAGAGACGCGGTTTTACCATATGGCCAGGCTGGTCTTGAACTCCTGACCTCGTGGTCCACCTGCCTCAGCCTCCCAAAGTGCTGGGATTACAGGCTTGAGCCACCATGCCCAGCCAGAAAACACTTTTGACAAACACACCAGCATTTCCTTTTGTAGAATCCTTGGGCCATATTAAGGGTATTGTTAAGCTGCCATCTCATAAAGTATACAGAATAAAACACTAATTTGGGGAGACGTTAAAAGGGAATAGTAACAACAGCAGCAGCACTTGTTTTATTTAAATGTGGAAAATTAATTCAAAATATAAAAAAATATTTTGGTGACTATATTGGTAATCTTACGATAAGAAGTAACTTTCTGAGTATAACACAAACAGCATCAGTTATAAAAGTACCAATTATATTTGAACACATGAAGCTTATTATAAAGCTCTATGTAAGGTTGCTGCATTTTACTTCAAACATCAAATGCAAAAATATATTAGAGATTTGCCACATGGAGCGGTGATATGACCAACTTATTTGAACAACAAAATTCCTTGAATCTAAAAGATATGGTAAATATGACTTAGCTTACTTAAAACCCAACTTTTTAGAAAGAATTTTAGAATCAGTGTCCAGAAAACTATTTTCCCATGAATAATTCTGAGACTGAATTTCACAAACCTGAATTCCTCCCATCTCCAATATATATTATGACATCCCCTTTCATTGTTGACTCCAGCACAGATTTCTGATGTCAATTCATTGGAGTCAGTGCAAAGGATTGAAAGGTAAATAGTAAGAAACAACATAAATGTATACACGATTTTTTTTTTTGGTTCAAATTGGCTATGATTGCGCTACAAATTACAATGTGTTGTCCCTAAAAATTCTCATGTAAATCTGTTATTTGGCACCTGGTACTTGATTTTTCTCTAGAAAGAAGTCTCTATGTGTTGGTAATAAAAATTGTTTAGGACTCTCAAAAAAGTTTAATGAATCAAGATTTAAATACAATTATTACTGAACCTGATCATCATGTGTGGCAGCAAATTTAACTTAAATTTCCTTCAAATTCATGTCCCATTTGTAGGCACACATTATTCTTGCCCATTTTGATTTCCTAATTATCAAGTCCCTCCACCACCTTCATGCTCTTCATGAGTCACAGATATCTTTGCTTCTCCTCAAATAGGATCAAGTGACTAAACCTGAGGCAGGGGCTCCATCCAATGTGATGATGGCTTTGAGTTTGGGGCACCAGCTCTGAAGGGTGAGGGACAGATACAGGGTCTCTTAGCTCCTTTCTTGCTGCTGAGGGCTCCTCTGCTGCCTGTCCAATGCTACCACCTTCTTTCTCCAAGTAGGATTCTCTCCTCTCTTGGACCACTCTTGAAGAGAGTCTCATACACAGGCATTCTGATAGTTTCCTAAGGTTTTGGCTGCTAATTACTTAGAGTCACAAACAATCTTTGAGTACCAAGCATCCTTCTTCTGACCTGATCTTATTTTTTCCACTCTGGTTCAAAAACAATGTTACCAAAGATGCTTAAAGTCTCTGATAGAAAGCTGTTATTGCCATTGATGCTCCCAGTATTTTTCACCACTTAGATCAGTCAACTCACCCATTGTGGTCATAGTTGTCAAGAGCATACAGTAGAATCTGGTAGTGAATCCATAACTCTACCAAAGAGTAAAAAGCACATACAAAAAATAAAGTCAGATATTTTGGAAGGCAATGAGGATGTTAATCTCAACAGTATTTCAGGACACAAAAAATAAAATCGGAGGAATTTTGACAAGAACTAAAGAAACAATTTCAGGATACAGCACTAGTACTTCTGAGACTGTGTGTGTGTGTGTGTCTGTGTGTGTGTGTGAGAGAGAGAGAGAGAGAGAGAGAGGGGACACAGAAAAAAGAAAGAAAATGTAAGAATAATGAATGTTTCTATATCAATGGCTAGTTCCCGGTCATCCTTGGTAGGAAATAAACAAGTAGATAAGTCAAGCCTTAATTATGTTTAAAACATTTTGTGAACTTAAAGTGGATTATGTGTTTACAATGATTTTGTTTTCTCTTTGTCTGGATTCATTTTTTTAAAGTTATATGGCTATGTTTTACAATATCAAGACTTCCTAGCACCGAAACCCCTGGCTTGGCTAATTTAATCTCTCTGCTACTTCATTTCCTCATCTGTAAGTTAAGACACATGCAAAATACACTCCACATCTGTCAACTTCATAAAACCATGCTGAATATTCAGCATTTTGCCAATATTGGTTTTTAGACAACCTGCTCTCTACACCATATATTATGCCATAAAAATCAGTATGTGGCAATATAAACGGATACACATTTTTAGTTTCAAATACACAAACATTCTCATCAAGGTAATACACTCCCAAGACTCAAGAATTAATGCTCTTCACCACAATTTTCTAACTTTTCAAACGTTTAAATAAGTTTAAGAAACTGATCACATACATTTTTTTGCTGCTGATAACAACTGGGATTCTCTAAGAGTGTGCTGAGGTTTCTTAACCTATTTGACCACAGAACCTCTTTCTCACAGTGGAAATGTGTGAGAAACACATTTTGGAAACAATATATTAAATGGTATCTTTTTATGTCTTTAAGAAAAGTTCCCCTACACAAACTAATTTTGGACTCTGATCAATAGCTCCAACCTTTAAGCACAGATAGACATTAATATTGTGCTAGTCTTTCAGCCTGTGAGGAAAGGAGTGCCAGAGTTCAAATTATCGCATCTCGTTAGCCTGGTCTGAGGGCCATGAGGGGAACCTTTCAAGTTCTAAGTGGGTGTTCTCATGTCCTTGAATGGCTCCTGGAAATTCATCCAGGTCTCAGGAAAAACAATAACCTTTTACAAAAAGAAAGGCATCTATAGGCATCCGCTACTTTTCAGCAGGATGAATAATTGGATTGTCTATGCAGAATACACTAATAAATCATAACAGGGGAAAATGTTCAAAACACCAAAAAGGTAAGAATTTGAGTTTCTGACATAAGCAGCCTTATTAAATGATTACTAGATTTTTCAGACATCCTCTACTGAGGAAGAGAACTGGAAGACACTCAAATTACTCCAGATTCAGGTGACAAGCCAGGATTGCTAAGCAAGTTCCTTGGGAAACTAATCTCCAAAAAGGGCACGAGACATCCATAGATGTTACCTGAACTCCAGGGAGAGTACTGCATGAAGTCTGAAATAATACTTTGATAAGCTGCTTTGGGGCACAGAATGACTTCCCTCATGGGACATGAATAAGTAACTAGCTAAATTGCCCCCTAAGGAAGGTGAGAATTGCAAACCGTCCTAAACTGAAGTGGTCATGCAGAATTCTTAAATGCTTTTTGGTAGATAGGAGCAACCACAGAAGTTTGAGTTAGCTGAAGGTTAGCTACACCTTTATAATCATGCTACCAGGTTATAATGAAAAGTAGGTCTCCGACCAAATCTGCCACACATACAGATATTCATTTAACAAAACATTCAGTAGCAAGCAGACACAGTATATAAGCTTCTGTAAGCTTTCCGCACTTTAGGTACTCCAAGCATGAAAGCTTCATTCTCAACAGATTCCTAATGTTTCAGAGGCCAAAATCTTCCTAAACGTTCCTGGAGATAGGACCATATGAGGATCAAGCCTTGGGTGTCGTCTCTAAATATACACTACAGGCCACCCTCATACACCTTTATCCTGTTTATGCAAGGGTGGGCTGTCTCCAAAACACGTTAGTTGATTCACAGATCTTAAAATGTCATATAATTGTAACATCCATCATGCTGCTTTGTAAGCCGCCAATTTCACTAATAAAAACCCATTTGTGACCTTCACTGTAATAATTAACAATGTTTCAGGTGTTAATTGAGATGGGACCACTGAAGCCCTTTTGGTGGCCATCTCTGTGGAGTGGCTTCCTGAGCTGAACACTAGCTTACCATCCTTGAACAGAGCATCCAACATTAGGGCAACCAGCTGCCCCTGTAGGAAAGATTAAAGTGACCAGTATATGCATATTATCACACTGCCTAAAATGTCATAGAATGAGGCTTGGTTTGTTTTTTAAATTTTTTCTATTTCTATTATTTTTCTATCGAATTATTTTTCTATTTTTATTTGCTGGGTCACAGACAACAGCAAATTCCATACCTTCAGAGTTATACCAGCTCATCTGCAGTAGGAGTAGAAATATCAAAGCTCTCAGTCTACCACCTTGTGCTCCAGAGATGTGGCCCAAGCACATCTTTGGACGTGAACCAGGGCAACCCAAGGCAGAGCTGGATTTCTGGGAGTTTCTCCCTATAAGCCCTGGACATGCTTACCTATACACCAGACTGCTTCCAGAGCCACTGCCGGGCAGAAGA
This sequence comes from Homo sapiens, assembly GCF_000001405.40. Lineage (NCBI taxonomy): Eukaryota > Metazoa > Chordata > Mammalia > Primates > Hominidae > Homo > Homo sapiens. The sequence goes on along the minus strand of NC_000021.9, from coordinate 10,524,646 downwards.
GCCTGGGGTGTGTTCAGCTGCTAGAATAACACAAGTCTGAGGTCTTGTGTCGTCGGTCCAACATTCTCTAAGAGGGAGAAATTTAATCAAGATCCTGTTAGCAGTTTTCTCTCTTGTTGCCTTTCAAGATTATGGCTTTTCCTTTTTTCATTTTTTTAGTTCCCAAAACCAAGCTTGTTAAATCAAATCTTGACCCAATTCCTGGCAAGTAACAAGGTTATTGCTATTTGGCCTTACACCCACGGGTTGTCCCCCAGTACCGTGAGGGTAAGGGGACTCTGTAAGGTCCCTGGGAGGGGAAAGGAATGTCAATTAGTGGTCCCCCCAGCTGGGTATAAGCAAACTTTCCTGTCTATGGGCCGCAGAGACCACCATCTAGTTCCCCCGCCAAAACTTTACATGATTTTAATTCTCCTGATGAAGATGAGAGGATAACAGCCAACAGAGAGGGCAGAGGATGGGATGGGACTCCCTTGCTCAGAGACCTCACCTCTAGGTCTTTACCTCCTATTGAGAATAAGTCAGTTCTGTAGTAAGAACTCTGTGTCCACGGCAACCCCAAACAGAATCCTAGCGCTCTTGTGATTCTTGTAGAATGGGGAATAGAACGAGCTTGGCCCAAGACTGCACAGACTTAAAAACATACTATTCTTTGAAAATGGCAATCATTAAAAAGTCAGGAAACAACAGGTGCTGGAGAGGATGTGGAGAAATAGGAACACTTTTACACTGTTGGTGGGACTGTAAACTAGTTCAACCATGGTGGAAGTCAGTGTGGCGATTCCTCAGGGATCTAGAACTAGAAATACCATTTGACCCAGCCATCCCATTACTGGGTATATACCCAAAGGACTATAAATCATGCTGCTATACAGACACATGCACACGTATGTTTACTGCAGCACTATTCACAATAGCAAAGACTTGGAACCAACCCAAATGTCCAACAATGATAGACTGGATTAAGAAAATGTGGCACATATACACCATGGAATACTATGCAGCCATAAAAAATGATGAGTTCATGTCCTTTGTAGGGACATGGATGAAATTGGAAATCATTCTCAGTAAACTATCGCAAGAACAAAAAACCAAACACTGCATATTCTCACTCATAGGTGGGAACTGAACAATGAGAACACGTGGACCCAGGAAGGGGAACATCACACTCTGGGGACTGTTGTGGGGTGGGGGGAGGGGGGAGGGATAGCATTGGGAGATATACCAAATGCTAGATGAGGAGTTTGTGGGTGCAGCGCACCAGCATGTCACACGTTTACATATGTAACTAACCTGCACATTGTGCACATGTACCCTAAAACTTAAAGTATAATAAAAAAAATACTGTTCTGCCATACATACAGATACTCATTAAAGATGAGGGAGAAGGGCATGGGGTGGGGGAGAATGTACCAAAACCAAAGACCACAGGATAATAACCTCAGAGCAGAGACTATCTCTCTAGTTATTTTTTCTTTTGTATGTAATGGAGAGGATTATTATTTACTCTGATGAAGAAGTTTACATCAAGTGTTCAGCTTCCTTTGTGGGTTACAGAGAATAACCAGAGGGCTCAGTTATGCTCTCTGAATAACTATGTTTGCTTAGTGTTTTCTAAACAATATTAAATTTCACTAAAATAGACAAGGTTGATAGGACTTGGGGGCATAACTCATTGACTCAAGCTATCATTTTATAGGATTGTGAGAAAACAAATAGATGAACATTTAAAATACACTCATATTCTCGCTAGAAAAGAGGATTTTGAATATTCTTACATCAAAGACATGGTAAATGTTTAAGGCAATGAATATGCTAATTACCATGATTTGATCATTATGCAATGTAAAATGTACTGAAACATCACATTGTACCTCATAAATATGTACAATTTATTATGTGCGAATTAAAATTTTGAGTATAAGAAAAAATAAACTTCAATTGTAAGAAAACAACCCAACTTTTAAAAAACGGGCAAAATACGTGAACAGATACTTCACTAATAGAGATTTGCAACTGGCAAATAAGCAAATGAAAAACTGGTCATCATCACTATCTATTAGAGAAATGCAGATTAAAACTACAATAAGAAACAATGCTGCCCGTCCAGACGCATTGTTTTGACCGTTTCCAACTTGTCCCAGCCCTTCCCGGGGCATCGCTGGGGACCCTACGCCGACGTCCCCCCTCCGCCCGCGCCCCAAGGGCCGACTGGGCAAATTGGGAGACCCGCCCCGCGGGGCGACCCAACTTTTCGGAACAGCACCCCACCGCCCACCCCCGCAGACCCCCGGACCCCCGCTCCCGGCGGAGACTCAGGGAACCCCGCACCCCAAGCCCTTCTAAATCGTGCAGCGTGAGTGTGACGGCCAAGAGCGGATGCAGCCCGGGATCGCCCGCACCTTCCCGTGGGCGGAAGCGCAGGAGCCAGCTGGGGAGGGGGCGCCCTAGAGGAGCGGCTAGAAAGCAGACACGGGGAACTCAGGTCATCCTGGGGGGGGACAAGACAACGAGAGCCGGGCGCCTCGGGGGCGGCGCGGGAGCCTCCGCAGGACCGGGCGGGCGCCCCGGCTGGCGCGGGCGGGGGGCGCGCCCCCTTTACCTGCGGCTCCGGCTCCTAGGCCATTTCCTCACGCGGCGGCGGCCGGGACTGAGCTAACACCACTCAGGCCGGCCGGGTTTGAATGAGGAGGAGCGGGCGCGGAGAGGAGGGGACGGGGAGGGCGGAGGGAGGGAGGGAGGCGTCGCGGAGTTTTTCTCGGCCTTTTGTGCGGACACCTCCCGGATTCCGCGCCCGCACCCGGCCCCCCAAAAGACACGGGGAGCCGCGGGCGAGGGGTTCAGCCATCCGCCGAGGCGCCTAGTGCCTTCGCGCCTCCAAGACCCCCCCCCAACAAAAAGGAGCGTCCCCCACCCCTACCCCCGCCCGGAGGACTTAGGGCCTGGGCTCACCTCGGGCGCGGAGCTAAGTGTAGGCGCCGGGGGTCCCTAGAGCCGCCGGGGCGCAGCGAGTCCGGCGCTGGGTAACTGTTGGGTCAGAAACTGTTCAGGTAGCAGCTGTTGTGCCCTCCCTTGGCCCCGCCGCTCGGAGACGCCCCGCCCCCTGCCTTGAACGGCCGCCCGGCCCCGCCCCAGCGCCCACGTGACTAGCATAGGCGCGCCCCCGTTCCGCCCGCCGCCGCAGACTCCGCCTCCGGGACGCGAGCGAGCGGCGAGCGCGCGCACTACCAGTTCTTGCTCGGCGACTCCCGCGCACGCGCGCGCCGTGCCACCCTCCCCGCACCCCTCCTCCCGCCATCCGGCTTAACGTGGCGGGCGCGCGCCGCGGCAGTAGCCGTGACAGGTACCCGGCGGGGCGGGGGGGGAGGGGGTTGGCCCGCGAGGGTGTGCGCAGGCACAGACCCGGGTCCTGTCCCCGCCGCCCCCTCCTCTGCAAGGTGTGCCTGGGCGAGGGGAGGGGCCCGCGGCCCGAACCCCTGGGTCACCCCCGAATTACAAACAAAAACCTTAACGCCATTGCTCGCGGGTTAGAAGGCAGCTGTGCGTGCTCAGGAAAAGAAGCCACGCACAAGAGACCGCACGCGGCGTGGATACAGTGACACGAAACACCCAAAATCTCTTTTGAAAGGGAAACCAGGCACAGTGGCTCATGCCTATAATCCCAGCACTTTCGGGGGCCAAGGCGCTCACCTAAACCCGAGAGTTCAAGACCAGCCTGGGCAATACAGCGAAACCCTGTCTCTACGAAAAATATAAAAATTAGCTGGGCATAGGGCTGGGCACGGTGGCTCACGCCTGTAATCCCAGCATTTTGGAGGCCGAGGCGGGCGGATCACGAGGTCAGGAGTTCCAGACCATCCTGGCTAACACAGTGAAACCTTCTCTCTACTAAAAATACAAAAAAAATTAGCCGGGCGTGGTGGCAGGTGCCTGTAGTCCTAGCTACTTGGGAGGTTGAGGCAGGAGAATGGCATGAATCAGGGAGCGGAGGCTGCAGTGAGCTGAGATTGCGCCACTGCACTCCAGCCTGGGGGACAGAGTGAGACTCCGTCTCAAAAAAAAAAATAATAATTAGCTGGGCATGGTGGCTGGCACACATGGTCCCAGCTACTCAGGAGGCTGAGGTGGAAGGATCTCTTGATCCCGGGGAGGTCAAGGCTGCAGTGAGCCAAGATGGCATCACCGCACTCCAGCCTGGGCCACAGACCCTGTCTCAAAAAAAAAAGAGAAAGTGGGGAAGAAAATGTAATACAAATTAATATACCAACAGCAATTAGTGAGTACTTTTTCCATGGAGCTGGGAGAGGGAATAAATGTTTGTAAAATTAAAATGTTCTACGCTAGAAATCAACTTTCCTTCTATGCTTTCTTTACTTCACCCCTTATAGCTACTTAGTAAATCTCACAAATCCTATCCTTCTGATCTCTCTGAAATGTATGTACCCTTTCCCTTCTATTCTCACCACCCATGTTTCTTTGTTTCCTTCTAGCCTGTGTAATAATCTCATAATCGCACCTCCTGTACCTGCCTTCTTTCTAGTCCAGAATACGTTTTCCTAAATTCCACCAATAACCATCCTGCTACTGCTTTGTGTGAAATTCTCCAAAAAAAATTTTACTTTTCCAAAATAAGTCAGGCTCCCTCTCTTAGGATACAAAACCACACCATGGTCCCAGCCAATCTTTCAGCCTGATTCACTCAGTATATATTTATTGACCTCTCCTTTCTCCCAAGCACTTGGCTAGATAATAATTAAAGAGTGCGGCACAAAACAAATTGGATTCCTCCCCTCATGGAGCTTGTATTTTCACAGGAAGCACAGACATTAAATAAATTAAAACACAAAAAAATAGACAAGCATATAATTACAGTATGTATCCTAGAGAAATATCACTCATGCAGAAAGCATACACAAGGATGCAGCACTGTTTCCAATAGCGAAAAGCTAGAAACAACCTACATGTTCACCAAAAGAAAATGGCCACATAAACTATACCATATCCAAATTATCCAAATTTTAGAATATAGACAACAGGTTGGGCGCGGTGGCTCACACCTGTAATCCCAGCACTTTGGGAAGCCGAGGCGGGTGGATCACAAGGTCAGGAGTTCAAGACCAGCCTGGCCAACATGGTGAAACCCCGTCTCCTCTAAAAAAACAAAAAAATCAGCTGGGCACTGTGGCAGGAGCCTGTAATCCCAGCTACTGAGGAGACTGAGGCAGGAGAATCGCTTGAACCCTGGAGGCAGAGGTTGCAGTGAGCCAAGATCGCGCCACTGCACTCTAGCCTGGGTGACAGAGCAAGACTCCATCTCAGAAAAAAAAAAAATAGAATATAGACAACAGGCCGGGTGCAGTGGCTCATGCCTGTAATCCCAGCACTTTGGGAGGCAGAGGTGGGCTGATCACCTGAGGTCAGGCGTTCGAGACCAGCCTGGCCAACATGGCAAAACCCCGTCTCTACTAAAAATACAAAAATTAGCCAGGCGTAGTGGCGTGCGCCTGTAATCCCAGCTACTTGGGAGGCTGAGGCAGGAGAATCACTTGAACCCAGCAGGCAGAGGTTGCAGTGAGCCGAGATCATGCCACTGGGCAACAGAGCGAGACTCCCTCTCAAAAAAAATACACACTGTGAATAAAATGTTTACTAGTTCCATATCCTGCTTTTGGATAAACATTTGATACACCATTCTATACTTACTCCTCTCTTTGCTCTATTCTGACTGCCTGCACCCCTCCCCGCCACCCAATCCCCCAACATATATGCCATATATATAAACATCAACCTGTAACCACCCTAATCGGCCCCAAGGTCACTCAAAATGCCACCTCCTTCAGTTACTCTCTCCTTTGTTCAATGCCTCCTTTATAACACTGTCTGCATTATGCCTAGCCCTGGGTATGTTATTTCTCTTACCACCTGAATAGTGGGGAGGCTCTTCCAAGGGAAGACCAGTTTCCTCCATGCTGTGGAATGGTCAACACACAGTAGGTACTCCAATATTTAGCTGTTCCAATATGTAGCTGTTCTGTGCTCCTTGGGTTTTTGTTTGTTTGTTTGTTTGTTTGTTTGAGACAATGTCTCACTCTGTCGCCCAGGCTGGAGTGCAGTGGCGTGATCTCAGCTCACTGCAACCTCTGGGGTTCAAGTGATTCTCCTGCCTGAGCCTCCTGAGTAGCTGGGATTACAGGCGTGCACCACCACACCTGGCTGATTTTTGAATTTTTAGTAGAGACAGGGTTTCACCATTTTGGTCTCCAACTCCTGACCTCAAGTGATCTGCCCGCCTCCCAAAGTGCTGAGATTGATTACAGGTGTGAGCCACTGCTCCTGGCCTCCCTGGATTCTTTTTTTTTTTTTTTTTTTTTTGAGACAGTGTTTCACTCTTGTTGCCCAGGCTGGAGTGCAATGGCGCAATCTTGGCTCACTGCGACGTCTGCCTCCCCAGTTCAAGCGATTCTCCTGCCTCAGCCTCCCTAGTAGCTAGGATTACAGGCACCTGCCACCACACCCAGCTGAATTTTTGTATTTTTAGTAGAGACGGGGTTTCACTATGTTGGCCAGGCTGGGCTCGAACTCAGGCGATGCACCCACCTCAGCCTCCCAAAGTGCTAGGATTACTGGCATGACACACCTCGCCCGGCTCCTGGATTCTTTAATACACTCGTTTTTTTCCTCTTTCATGTGACATGTACCTAATAAGCACCCACTATGTACACCAGGCATTGTTCTAGGTGCTGGAGATGCCGCAGGGAACCAAATAGATCAAAATGCCTATCCTCATGGAGTTAACATTTGATATTATAGTGTGTTAGATATTATAATAAGTACTATGGAGAAAAATACAAGGGGCAAAGGGGCTACAGAGTGGAGGGGTGGTGAGGGAAATGTTAAATAGATCGGCCCTGAAAGGCTTCATCATAGACACATCTAAATAAAGATCTGAAGGGGGTGACAGTGGCAGCCACAAGGAGTTCTAGGGGAAGAGCATTCCAGGTTCAGGGACAGGCAAGCGAAGTCCTTGAAGCAAAGTGCACCCAGTGTCTCAAAGAACAGCAAGGAGGCCAGCATGGCATTGTGGCTGGCGTGGCGACAAGCCCGGAAATTAGGATGGGGATGGTGCATCTTGATTGCACGGATCTTTCTGGCCATGGTAAAGATTTTGAATTTCATTCTGAATGGGCCTGAGAGCTCTGAATAATCTGAGCAAAATGGCCGGGCTCGGTTAGTAAGTGGTGTATTCAACGGGTTCACACAATCAAGAGCACTCCTAAAATAGTAACACAGGGTCTCTCTCCTTTGCTGAAATCACTCACTCAGATATTTAAATGTATCTCTATTTCAGGTTACTTCTACAACCATAACAATAATAATAATAATAGTAAGAAGAGGGCTGAGCGCAGTGGCTGGCTCATGCTTGTAATCCCAGCACTTTGGGAGGCTGAGGCAGGAGGATCGCTTGAGCACAGGAGTTCTAGGCCAGCCTGGGCAACAAAGTGAGACCCTGTCTTTGCAAAAAGCCAAAAAATTAGCTAGGCATGGTGGTTGTGTGCCTGTGGTCTCCAGCTACATCAGAGGCTGAGGACAGGAGAATTGCCTGAGCTCAGGAGTGCAAGGCTGCAGTGACCCATGATTGTGCCACTGCACGCCAACCTGGATGACATAGTGAGACCCTAAGATAGGCAGATAGATAGATAGATAGACAGATAGACAGATAGATACATACATACATACATACATACATACATACATACATACATACATAAAAATTGAGGTGCACTGTCACTTGAGAATTTCAAATTATATGATAAGTAGCTAAGGCAGTCAAAGAAAGGCTTTGGAGATGACCATAAAGTACTTTATGTAACTAAGTTATTCAGTCCCTAAACCATTTATATTTAAATATAGAAAATATATTTAATAATTTGATACAGGAAAAAAGAGCTTGTCAAAAAATCTCAAAAGAATAAAGTCTATTGGATTTAAACCATTTCCTTATAAAACCTGATTGCTGTATTACAGATATGAACTCTATATGCACTCAAATCCTTTCATCAATAAAAGGCAATAAGACTCTTATTGAGTAACAATAAGAGGCAATAAGGCTCTTATTGACTGTAACATTATTTAGGATAGTTCTTTCCAATAGAAATATCAAGACCAAGGGGTTACATAAAAAAAAAAAAATTTTAAGTCAGTACTATACCATCACCTCTGCAAGGTAACTGCTCAGAAACAGAGCCTGAGGAATCTTTTCTGATCACAGATCTTTTGGTTTTCCCTTGCCCAGTTCGACTTCTTTGCCGCACCATAAATCCACCAATACCTATCCAAAAAAGAAATTGGGTAAACTGATAAATAATTTCTCCCTACGTTTCCACAGTACACAGGATAAAAATGCTTTATCTTGAATAGTAAGTCATTTTCCAAAATTAAGTCTGTGCTAGTCTAAATAAATAACCTGAGTTTTAGGTAAAATAGAAGTTAAAAACAACCAAAAAAAAAAAAAGGCAAAGCCACTGTTACCACTTATCAAACAGAATACAAAAAGACCTGTGTGCACTTCCTCTTCTCAACAGTATCAGTGTAAATATCAAACACTAAATTACGCTGGCTTATCTATTTGACAAATATTAGTGCCTCATACATCACATAACAGTCATGCACTGCATAATGATGTTGGTCAACAAAGGGCTGCATGTCAAGGCAGTGGTCCCATAAGATTATGATGGAGCTGAAAAATTCCCACCACATACAGACATCACCGTAGTTATAACACCGTAGCACAATTACTTTATTTTTTTAAATGAATTTAGCGTACCATACAGCCTAAGTGTGTAGTAAGCTATACCATCTAGGTTTGTGGAAGTGCACTCTATGATGTTCACACAAGGATGAAAATGCCTAATGATGTATTTCTCTGAACTTAAGTGATGGATGACTGTGTCTGTATATTAACCGGCTAACTGGTACATTAGCTGGAGGACAGAAGACACAAACTACCTAGATGACACAAATATTCTTTGACTGATATGATTTCAGGGGGACAGTGTCTGGTACTCCAACGTATGAGGGCATTTATACATGGGACACATAGAGCCCTGTGGTTAAGAGCGTGGAATCTGGAGTCAGACTATGTAATTCTGCTTACTCACTAAATACTTCTCAATGCCTCAATTCTTTCACTGGTTAAATATGGGGGTAAGGCAAAGCAGCTTCTCATACATATGTTAAAAGGACAAATAACATAAGTGAAGTGCTTAGAATAGAGGTCTGGTACACAGTCAACACTATAAGCTTTTGTGAAATGATATCGCTGTCTAGCAATATACTCTGTGACCTAATGGGTCCCTCAATTAGAGGGTTGACTTCCATGTGAGGCAGAGGAAAAGAAAACAGTAAATACAAGTTCCTGGAAGAAATCTGCAATGTCTAAAAAAGTACACTTATAAGCCTCATGATTAGGAAGAAATGAAATCATTTTCATAAAATGATTTAGAAGCAACTCACCGTAGGTCCTTATTATAGATATGACCTATTTAAAAGACAGGTTATCTTTTAAGGTCTCATGGAATACGAATGAAGTAAGAAAGTTCTTCCTTACATATCAAAAGGGATTTAGATCACTCTTACCAATAAAATATAAGCAATAAGAAGCATAAAGATTGTACGAATCCAATTTAAAACCTCATTGGTAAACAGACATTAATAAACTGGCTAAGGAAAGCCTACTCAACACGTGTGAAAAGCGGGAAAAAAAATTTTAAATAAATACATAAAAGCCTACAACTTCTGTATTGTGACAATTTTAATAATTTTTTCCAATAAGGCAAATAAAACTGACAGGCAAGACCGCTTTTCTCTCCACTCCTGAGGCAGATAAGAAATGAGTGTTTAATCAATCATGGTTTTTAACTGGACTATAAATTCTAGGAGCCATAATAACTCTGTCTTGTTCCCCTTCACACTGTATACTTACTGGCACTCCTGCATAAACACTGAAATAAGTTTTTTCAAAAAAAGATATTAGAAAGTGAATACTGAAAATTAAAAGCGTTACAGAAGTACACATCCAGAGGAACTATATAAATGGCCTTCAAAGTCCAAGTATGAACAAAAGCCAATCTAGTAAAGCATTTAATAAAATGGTTAACATTTGGGATAAGGCATTCAATAATGATTCATTGTGAAGTATTCACATATTCAAAATAAAGAACTCTAGAGCTAAAAAGTCGTATTCAAATAGTTTAGTTCTTTAATTTATGTGCACATTTTTTTGTTTAGACAGTTCTTAATCCTGAATATTTAATTTTAATTGAAGTCTTCAGTATTGTATTTTTCTTTAATTAACCAAGTGTTGATGATATTGAAATGTCTACCTCAGGCACTATACCTGGTCTGTATGGTTTCCTTTTTCTCTTTTTGACACCATCTGTTCCTTCCACTCCCTTAGTTTCATCATTCACAGCTTCCCGCTCAGGACTAGATTCTGATTTTCCATCACAATCCATAAGTTCTCCTTCTGGAAAAAAGTAAATGTATACACAAAACTGGAAAAACCTATCAAATATATAATCCCTACATCATGGGGAATAAAAAGTAGGGTTGTTGCTGAGCCATTTTAATTGTACATCCCTGTTGGTAGGGAAAGTATGAAAGGAGATAGAAGCAGCCCCAAATGGTTCTAGAAATTGTGCTGCTTAGTGCAGTGTTCCCATGAAATAAAACATAATCAGAGAAGGGGAACACAGAACTCAGAGTTCTGTTAAGTGCAACCCATTTGCACTTAACAAATTCACTTGCTTTTAATTATGTCTTCAGGTCCAGGTCTCTAGACTAGAACTCTCTTCTGAGCTTCAACCACAGCTATAATTGAATATTACCTAGTTACTGAAAACTGTGTATCCAAAATGAACTACTAATTTAAAATAAACTTTCTCCTTTTTCCCATGTTACCTATCATCATTAAAAGGCATGGAAATGTAACCTGGAGAAGACAGAGGCCTGGAAGACCACCTTAATCATTCCTAATCTCTTTCCTCCTACAACCAAGACTCCTCAATACCTCTGAAATGCATTTTATCACTCTCTACTACCATCTTAGTCCAACCTCAGATGACTCACTATTAATACAATATGCTCCTATCTAGTTGCCCACCTCAAAGCTTACCTCTCTCCAATCAATTCTTTAAATTACTGCATAAATGATCTTTCTATAAATATGTATCAATTTTCTGCTTAAAATCCTTTCATGTCTTCCCAATGCCCTCAAAATAAACTTCAAATTACAAGGCCCATTACAACAGTCTCTTGTAAACTTTCCAGCTTCATCTCACTCCCACCAGGGAACTATGCTCAGTTCTTTGAATGTATCAAGCTCTTTCTTCCACTATCTTCCCCAATTTCTGCCTTCTACCTAACTTATCTTTCAGGATTTATTCTAAACTTCACTGTATTAAAGAATTCCTGATATTTAGATAAGATTATGTCAAACAGTTGTATGCTCGTATGTATGAACGTCATGCTTCATTTTTATTGGTTCTTTAAAATCTGTGTCCCTGCTAGACTATATTCTCCATGAGAACAGGTACACAGATTTTCTTAGTAACAGGTGTATTGTTAGTAGGATACCTAATACATGTTCAATAAATACTTCACTGAATGAGGTAAATGGAATGCTTAGAGAATGCTATTTTAGAGAATGCTATTTTAACACTATGGTAATCAAACTTTTCCAAGTTATATATGCTTTACATTGTATTACAGGAAAAAGATATGTTTATCAAATACATTTTAAAATCAAGTTGTTAACTCCTTCAATATTCTCAGTATTAGAGATAACGTATTTCTGTAATGACATGAACAGGGTATTTGTCTTTTCTTTTTTATTATATTTGGTCTATATTTAAGGCCAATTCCATAACAATCTGATAATGGCTATGGACTTATGACTAAACCATGAAAAGAAAAGTTTATAGACCAGGCACGGTGGCTCATGCCCATAATCCCAGCACTTTGGGAGGTCAAAGCAGGTGGATCACTTGAGGTCAGAAGTTCCGTACCAGCTTGACCAACATGGTGAGTCTCTACTAAAAATACAAAATTATCTGGGCGTGGTGGTACATGCCTAAAATCCCAGCTATTCAGGAGGCTGAGGCAGGAGAACTGCTTGAACCTGGGAGGCGGAGGTTTCAGTGAGCCGAGATCGTGCCATTGCACTCCAGCCTGAGCAACAAGAGTGAAATTCCATCTCTCAAAAAAAAAAAAAAAAAAAGGCCGGGCGCGGTGGCTCATGCCTGTAATCCTAGCACTTTGGGAGGCCAAGGTGGGTGGATCACGAGGTCAGGAGATCGAGACCATCCTGGCTAACACGGTGAAACCCTGTCTCTACTAAAAATACAAAAAATTAGCCAGGTGAGGTGGCTGGTGCCTGTAGTCCCAGCCACGTGGGAGGCTGAGGCAGGAGCATGGCGTGAACCCGGGAGGCAGAGCTTGCAGTGAGCCAAGTTGGCACCATTGCACTCCAGCCTGGGCGACAGCGAGACTCCGTCTCAAAAAAAAAAAAAAAGAAAGAAAGAAAAGAAAAGAAAAAAGAAAATTACTGAAAAAAACAAGCACCAAAGATGACAATACCAATTGTTTACCTTCAAATAAACCCACCTAAAAGTTAATGACAGGGAATTTTGGGTTAAGGTGGCAGACTAAATTCATACATTAAAATTACATTCTCCTGAAACCCTACTAAAAACACACTGAAATAATCTATTTTTAAAAGATAAAATCAAGCTGTGGCATGGTGGCATGCCTGTAATCCCAGCTAGTTGGGAGGCTGAGGTGGGAGAAGAGAATTGCTTGAGCCCAGAAGGTTGAGGCTACAGTGAGTTATGATCACACTACTGCATTCCAGCCTGGACAACAGAGAAAGACCCAATCTCCTTAAAAAAAAAAAAAAAAAAAAAAAAAAAAAAAAAAAAAAAGACAATAGGAAAGGAGAAAAACAAGTTAACGAAGGCAAATTCTCAGTTGAGAGCAGAAAGAACTGAAAAAAAGAATCCAGTTTATAACAATCCTCAGAAGGCTGAGAAACTAGGAAAACTGGCCACCTTTGGAAATAAGTGGGAGAAAACTGAAGCAACAAGAGATTTAATTATCTGCAGAAGTTATACTTCCTACACCTGCTTCCTAGGTTTACACACTGAGAAGCTGCTACTCTCATTTGTGGGATGAGGATTCCTGGGTGACCTTAAATGGAACAATGGGATGAAGATCGAAAATAGGACCAAGAAAATACGGGCATACTAATTGTGGACAACCCCATTCTGCTCCCGCTGCCGGACCCCACATTTCCCCACTGAATTCTCAGAAAGCTAGCAGCCAGATCTCTAGCCTCCAAGTATGAGGTTTGAAAAGACTGTTGTGGGGAACCTGATCAGTTCAAGAAGAACATCTAAAGATACTGAAACCAGAGGGTTCACCAAATGGTCAGCACAAATCACCCCACTAAACTTACAAATCGACAAGCACCGCCACATACTCAAAGCTTTCTAATCAACTACTTAATTCCTTTTTTAAAAATAAAAATACTATCTATCCAGTCTCCATCTTTAGTTCTTCACTTTTAATCATGCATGTACCATAAAGATTATCTGACAATGGTCTATAACAAGCTTGTCCAACCTGCAGCCAAGATGCTTTAAATGCAGCCCAACACAAATTCATAAACTTTCATAAAACATTATGAGACTTTTTATGAGGTTTTTTTTTTTTAAAAAAAAGCTCACCAGCTATCATTCGTGTATTTTACGTGTGGCCCAAGACAATGCTTCTTCCAATGTGGGCCATGGAAGCCAGAAGATCTGCAACACCCTTGATCTGTAACATAAAAGACAGAGACCTGAGAACATAAAAGACAATTTGGAATTAACAGACTAAGTAGGAAGAAAAAAAAATCTTCAAAAGGATTAAAATCCTCTGAGGGATAATATAAGATACCCTTGAGGCAAGAATAGGATGCTACAAAAGAAACATTCAAAGGGAGGAAAGAAAGCTCTTGAAATAACTGAAATAAAAACAAAACTCAGTAGCGGGAGATAAAATAAGGACATGAATTGAAAAGAAGCAGAGAAAAACTGAGTATGTTTCACATCTGAAAAGCAGAATTCTGGAAAAAGAGAGGGAATTGTTATCAATAATATAGTTCAAGAACATTTCCTACCACTGAAGGATATAAGACAGCAGACTGAAAGAGACCACTCAGTGCCTAACGAAACAGATTTTAAATATCAAAAATAGACAAAAACAGACGTTATCCTCATGAAATTTTAGAACACTGAGGACAAAGAATTTCCTAAAATCTTAAGAGCTTCCAAGAAAACACAGGTCACATAGAAAAAACCGAGTTCTTCATATACTAGAAACTAAAAGACAGTGGATCAATTGACTAAAAATGATAAATGAAAATGTGTTTCCAACCTGGAAAAGATGAGTCAGGTAGGAAGGTAAAATAAAGACATTTTCAGAAGTATATAATGCTCAAAACTTACCTTCCACACATTCTCTGTCAGGGAGCTATGGAAGATACGTTCCACCCAAATTGAGGGAAGAAATAAAGAGAAATTCATGAAATTGCAGAAAACACATGTAACACAGGAGAGAACAGAAGATGATCTCCAGGATGATGAAGAGGAAATCCCCAAGTTAATCATATGTAATGGTTTGTGGCCAAGGATAGCACTGGATCTAGCACAAAGGCCACCTTTCACCTGAAACAATGCACCACAAGGACAGTAAAAACCAAGAGAGCACTTTTATTGATGAGGTTCACAGTGACACCAGTAAGCATACATGTTGAGACAAATGGCATAAAGTAGCACATACAGTGCCCTAACACAAGTGGTATCACTGTAGGCTAAAGTCTCTTCTAACCAACATCTTCACAAGGGCCTTCTGATTCCCACAGGCTGAAATAAAGAAAAAGACTGTTATCGGCCAGGCACGGTGGCTCATGCCTCTCCAGCACTTTGGGAGGCTGAGGCGGGTGGATCACGAGGTCAGGAGATAGAGACCATCCTGGCTAACACGGTGAAAACCTGTCTCTACTAAAAATACAAAAAATTAGCCGGGCGTGGTGGCGGGTGCCTGTAGTCCCAGCTACTCCAGAGGCTGAGGCAAGAGAATGGCGTGAACTTGGGAGGCAGAGCTTGCAGTGAGCCGAGATTGCGCCACTACACTCCAGCCTGGGCGACAAAGCAAGACTCCATCAAAAGAAACGAAGAAAAGAGAAGAGAAGAGACGAGACGAGGACAGAAAGAAAGACAGAAAGAAAAGAAAAGAAAAGAAAAAGAGAAAAAGACCGTTATCACCCAAATATGAGAAATTCTCCCATATATACATACTTGTATCTAGATGACTAATCTCTGGAAAGTTATAAGAAAACACTGGTTCTTTCCAAGGAAGGGATGGCCAAAAGGTAGGCTAACTTAACATTGTTCACTCTTTTTAAGACCTTTGTATTTCTTGTATCATGCACAGGTATTGCCTATTCAAAAACAAACCTACAACAGGGAAAGACTGAAAGCTTTTCTTCAATATCTGCTACAAGGCAAGGATGCCTACTCTTAACACTTATATTCACCATAGT
The DNA here is from genome assembly GCF_000001405.40 of Homo sapiens. NCBI lineage: Eukaryota > Metazoa > Chordata > Mammalia > Primates > Hominidae > Homo > Homo sapiens. The sequence goes on along the minus strand of NC_000021.9, from coordinate 10,509,003 downwards.
CCTAGCCAGAGCAATCACATAAGAAAAGGAAATAAAAGGCATCAGCAGAAAAAATGGGGTAAAATTATCCCTGTGTGCAGATGACATGATCCTGTATGTAGAAACCCCTAAAAATTCCACAGTTACTAGAATAAATGAATTCAGTCAAGTAGCAGGATACAAAATCAATATACAAAAATCAGATGCATTTCTTTATACAAATAATGATCTGAAAAAAAATCAAGAAAACATTTCCACTTAAAATAACATCAAAAAGAATAAAACACTGAGGAACAAATTTAATGAAGGAAGTGAAAACTTTATATACTAAACACTATAAAATACTGACAAAGTAAACTGAAGACACACAGCCGGGCATGGTGGCTCACACCTGTAATCCCAGCATTTTGGGAGGCCAAGGCGGGTAGATCACCTGAAGTCAGGAGTTCAAGACCAGCCTGGCCAACATGGCGAAACCCTGTCTCTACTAAAAATACAAAAATTGGCCAGGCGGGCATGATGGCAGGCACCTGTAATCCCAGCTACTTGGGGGGCTGAGGCAGCAGAATTGCTTGAACCCAGGAGGCGGCGGAGGTTGCAGTGAGCTGAGATCACACCACTGCACTTCTGCCTGGGCAACACAGCGTGACTCTGTCTCAAAAAAACAGAAAAAAACTAAAGACACAAATAAATATAACGATATCCCCAAGTTTGTGGATTGGAAGAATATTGTTAAAATGTCCATACTATCCAAAGTGATCTACAGATTCAATGCAATCCCTATCAAATTTCCAAAGGCATTTTTCACAAAAATAGAAAACACAATTCTAAAATTTGTATTAAATCATAAAAGACCCTGAATAGCCAAAAGAATCTTGAGAAAGAAAAACAAAGTAGAAGGTATCACACTACCTGATTTCAACTTATATTACAAAGTGATAGTTATCAAACTATCAAACCCAAACATATATTATGAGCTAATTTTTGACAAGTCCAATAAGATACAATAGGGAAAAGATGGTGTCTTCAATAAGTAGTGGTAAGAAAACTAGATATCTATATGCAAAAGAATGAAACTGGACCTGATGCCTGTCTTACACATCATACATAAAAAGCAACTCAAAATAGATTAAATACCTAACACCTGAAACCATAAAACTCCTAGAAGGAAATATAGGAGAAAAACTCCTTAATATCCTCCTTGACAATGATTTTTTGGATATCACACCAAAAGCTCAGGTAGCAAAAGCAAAATTAAGCAAGTGGGACTACATCAAGCAAATAAGCTTCTGCATAGCAATAAAAAAAAACCAAACGGGGTAAAAAGGTAGCACAGGGATTAGGGGAAAATATTGGCAAACCACACATCTGATAAGGCATTAAAATCCAAAACATATAAGGAACTCACACAACTCAGTAGCAAAAAAAAAAACCCCAAATAACTGGATTTTAAAATAGGCAAGGACCTGAATAGCCATTTTTCCAAAGTCACACAAATGGTCAAATGGTATATGAAAAGATGCTCAACATCATAATCATGAGGAAAATGAAAATTAAAACCACAATAGATATCATCTCGTGTCTCTTAGAATGACTATTAACAAAAAGGCAAAGACATAAGTGTTGGTGAGGATGTGTAGAAAATGAAACCTTTGTACATGGTTGATAGGAATGTAAATTAGTATAGCCATTATTGAAAACAGTATAGAGTTTCCTTAAAAAAAATACAACTACCATAAGATCCAACAATGCCTCTGTTGGGCATATATTCAAAGGTAATAAAATCAGCATCTGAGAGAGACATCTGCACTCCCACGTTCATGGCGGCATTACTCCCAATAGCCAAGATATGGAAACAAACTAAGTGTCCTAATGGACAATTTACTTACCCATTCAAGGACAGATGAATGGATAAAGAAATTGTGACGTTTGTATATACATATATTAAGTCCTCCCTTAATGTCATCAATAGGTTCTTGGGAACTGAGACGTTAAGCTAAATGAACATACAGCAGGTCCTCAAGTAACACTGTTTCCTTCAATCTAATTTTGGCATAATGCAAAATGAAAAAAAAATCAGTTTTTCATACTTTTTTTTCCCCTCTTAACCACAGTTTCTAAGAACTTACTGATGACAATGAGGACTTTATACAATGGAATAGTTAGCTTTAAGAAAGGAGATACTGCCATTTGTGACAACATGGATGAACTGGGAGGAAAGTATGCTAAATAAAGTAAGCCAGACACAGAAAAATACTGTATGATCTCACTTAAGAAGCAGAATGGGAAGCAGGGGAGTGAGAAACTGAATGTATAGAGAGTAGAATGGTGGTTATCAAGGGTCTGGAGGTAGGGGATGGGTAGGATGGGCAGAAGTGGGTCAGAGGGTACAAATCTGCAGTTAGGTAAGATGAATAATTCTAGAGATCAAATTAATACACAGCATGAGAACCATAGTTAATAATATTGTGTACTGAAAATTTGCTGAAAGAGATTTTAGGTGTACACACACAGAGAGTAACTATGGAAGGTGAAGGATACAGACATTTGTTTGACCATAGTAATCATTTCACTATGTATACAAAGCATGTTGTATACCTCAGATATGTATAATAAAAATAAATGAAAAAAAAAAAAACTGTATCCTACCTGCCAAAAACAGTTTCAAATGCATTATGTCTTTGGATTTAGCAAGGAATTCACCTTTGCAGGCCCACTTACATACAACATTATAAATATACCAGGTGATTCATTGTACTATTCACAGTAAAAGATTGAAAGAAAGTCGGGCGCGGTGGCTCACGCCTGTAATCCCAGCACTTTGGGAGGCCGAGGCGGGCAGATCACGAGGTCAGGAGATAGAGACCATCCTGACTAACATGGTGAAACCCCGTCTCACTAAAAATACAAAAAAATTAGCCGGGCGTGGTGGCGGGCGCCTGTAGTCCCAGCTACTCGGGAGGCTGAGGCAGGAGAATGGCGTGAACCCGGGAGGCGGAGCTTGCAGTGAGCGAAGATCGTGCCACTGCACTCCAGACTGGGCGACAGAGCGAGACTCTGTCTCAAAAAAAAAAAAAAAAAAAAAAAAAAAAAAAAAAAATTTAAAGAAACCCAAAGGTCTATCAACAGGGGAAAGAACAGGTAAATTAAATTGCTTATATTTCCATACAAAGGAATATTTGCAGCCATAAAAAAATGAAGGACAGTAAAAAGTAGTAAGACAAAAGGAACAAAATATATATACACACACACACACAAAATATATATATATATACACACACATTTCCTTGTACATGCATAAAATACATCTGGAAGGTTACACGAGAAACCTCTGAGGTTTCTGGAGATGTAAACTGGGGGCATGAAGGCAGGGGAAAGGGAGAGACTTCACTGTTTACCTTTTTATTATTTTCCAATTTTAAATCATTTGAATGTATAACTTGTCTAAAAATCAAATTTTAAAAGTTGAGGGAATTAACATTACAGAAAGTAACAAACCTCAAGGAAGCAGCCACCTTCACCAGATGGACAGTCTACCTCACTCTTCCCACGCTCCAGTAGTTACTGAATGCCAGTCCCCTCCCTCCATTCAGTCTGCCCCACCTGCTGGCCTTCTAGAGCCTCAGTGCAGTCCTATTCCTACACCTCCAAACACATCCATACACTGTGATGGTCGATCTGGGACCACCAGTTGAGAGGAAATGTGTTGTGTTTCCACACTTCAGACAAACAGAGTGTTATTTTATTGAGGTTTGGGATTTTTTTCTTGCATTAACAGGGTTTCTAGATCCCAGTAGGTGAATGAGAAAGAAGTATGCTTTTATTGCGTAAGGAATTTGTTTCTGATACACCAAAGTGATAATGTATGACTTTTCTTAAAGAAGTGGTTATTAGAAGAGTTAAAAATCAATAGAAACAAAAAGTCATAGGTTTTGTTCCAATACTCCAGGAACATCACAATTTGGATTCTATAGATGTGTGTAATATAATGTGTAATATTACATTCTGACAACCTCAAGTTGAAAACTGCACAGCTGAAGATCACTTATAGTCAATAACACTTTTCAAACTTTAATTTTAAATTCATCAAGTCTCTCCCTAATGTAACATACTTTTTAATAAAGGAAACTGTCAGAGATGCTATAATACAGAGGAAAACGTTTATATACTCTTTCATTATAATTTTTCCACAACTTCCAAAATGAAGAAAAAGACATGGAAACATTAAGTTCAGAGAATAATTGTGGCAGACAATTCCCTCCTCCTGAAAGTTCAGTTACCCCAACACAGGCATAATTTCTTACTGTCTCAAAAGGAACTGAATTCACATATAAAGACAAACGTGGGATTTTGTTGAGTTCTGTTGGACACAGAACACAATTGCTCAAGCACTGGTTGGGCACTTGTATTCTAATAGCTCACGGTTACTGAGCACTCCATGTCTGGGAAGAGCCAGTGCTGGGTGCCTGGCATGCATCCTTGCACCTCATCAGCACAACTATCCTATGGGCTCATCCTGGTTCACCTATTTTATAAATGAGAACACTAACATCAGAGAAGTTAAAAAATTTGCCTAAAAACATCCAGAGTAGGTTTCATCGTTGCCCACTACTTTATAATGCTTTCCCAAGGGTACTGAGACGTTATCAAAACATGTTAGTGAAACAGTCTAAAACATCACAAATTTTAGGTTTAATACAAAATACCCAGAAAATGGCAGCATTATTAGAAATCTCAGCATAATGTAATAATAAGAACTTATGATGATTGTATTCTTTTCCTATTTTTTCTCCCGTACAGGCATATGAAAAACCATAAAACTTATTTTAGGGGTGTGTGTGTCCATGTAGTTTCAGGATAATATAGTAATCTAAAACATTTTTAATATGGCAAAGTGTGGCAATACTAAATTTTTAAAAAGGATTTTTATTTAGCAAACAGAAAGCAAAAATGTTGTCCAAGAAACATGCATTTATTTTATCCCTAGGAATGTACCTTTCCTTCTGCAAAGGATGTGAGATCCTGGCATGCAAATGAACATGAGGATACAGTATATTCAATTCCTTAAATTCTAAAATTGTCTTAGCATTTAACATCCAACACACTAAACAATCTTTTTTCATATTCAATAAAAATAAGGACAAATTCAGTAAATTCAGATGGGCTATTTTATCACGTAAATTTTAAAAAAGCAAGGGTAATTTTTCAACTGATTTTCTTTTACCCTGATACGAGTCAATGAGAAAATATGAAATTGAAACATATCACCATTTCTCAGTGTTTACAAGTGGTAAGTCACAAGGAAAACCTTCCAAGGTCTTCTGTGTTGTTTTTAAAAGGTATTATAATCACATAATTTGGGAAACAATGTGTACTATTATCAAGAAACCTTTCATATTTTGTGAAATGAAGCACTTCCCAAATTTAAGAGACTATGGAAACCTTTTTCAGACATTTTTTAACATCCTCAGAAGTGGAAATTCTTGTTAATGCTGATCTGATCAATTCCTCCAAGTATATGGACTACTTCTTTGCAAACTCCAAGCCCCCAAATCAAATTACCTGTTCAACTGTATCTGAAAATCAGTTACATAAAAGCATCAGAAAGTGTTTCTCCCAGCAACATAGACCCAAAACACACTACAAAACAAAAATTATCAAGAACATACAAAAGACATATTTTTTCATGTATTTATTTATTTTTTGAGATGGAGTCTCACTCTGTCACCAGGCTGGAGTGCAGTGGCTCGATCTTGGCTCACTGCAACCTCTGCCTCCTGGGTTCAAGCAATCCTCTGCCTCTGCCTCCCAAATAGCTGGGATTACAGGTGCCTGCCACCACGCCCAGCTAATTTTTGTATTTTTAGTAAAGACGAGGTTTCACCATGTTGGCCAGGATGGTCTTCATCTCCTGACCTCAGGTGATCCACCCACCTTGGCCTCCCAAAGTGCTGGGATTACAGGCATGAGCCACCAAGCCCGGCCACAAAAGACATACCTTTTCAAAGCCACTATTACCTCTCACCTGGACCATTATTTCTCACTGATCTACCTGTCATAACTCTTGCACCTAATCATCTACTTATATCATAGGAGAGTGTTCCTCTTAAAATATAAATAAGATCATGGTGTTCTTCTTTTCAGGAACATTCAATGGCCTCTCATTCCATTGCTATTAAGCACAAACTACTGACACACCACCTTATGGTTGTGTGAGATATACTGAGCCGTCCTTCTTGTCCTCACATCTCTAATCTTCTCACCTTCTGACTGTCCCCTCTGCTCACTCTGTTGGTCTCCACAACACTCTTCAAACATGCTCAGCACACTCTCACCCAGAGCCTTTACACTGGCTTCCTCACTGTCTGGGATGCTCTTCTCTCAGGTAATCAAGTGGCTCACTCACTCACCTCTTTAAAATCTGTGCATATGGACCCTAAACACCCATCTGTACTTCCAATTCCTTTTTTTTTTGGAGACAGAGTCTTTCTCTGTCACCCACGCTGGAGTGCAGTGGTGCAATCTCGGCTCACTCTAACCTCCACCTCCCAGGTTCAAGCAATTCTCCTGCCTTGGCCTCCCAAGTAGCTGGGATTACAGGTGCATGCCACTGAGCCCAGCTAATTTTTGTATTTTTAGCAGAGAACGGGTTTCACCATGTTGGCCAGTCTGGTCTCGAACTCCTGACCTCAAGTGATCTACCTACCTTGGCCTCCCAAAGTGCTGAGATTACAGGCATGAGCCACTGTGCCTGGCCAGGCAATTCCTCTTTATCAAACTTTATATTTACCATGGGCCTTGCCAAACACATTATAATTAACTGATTTTTTTTAAGAGTTGGGTTACCTAACATTAAAATATAAACTCTATGCAGAGAATTCTACCTGCTTTGTACACTGATATGATTTCCAACATCTGACATACAGTAGGTATTCAATTAATTCTATTGTCTCAAAGCCGGCTGCAGTGGCGCATGCCTATAGTACCTGCTACTTGAGAGGCTGAGGCAGGAGGATCACTTGAGCCCAGGAGTTGGAAACCAGCCTGGGCAATGTAACAAGACACTGCCCCTTAAAAAAAAAAAAAACTATGAAATAAAATGTAATGGAACAGAAATAATTATCGCTTCATTTCTGAATCAGTTGAAAATAAATAACCGCCCCAAAAATGAGCAAACCTACAGTAATCCTCTTTAACTCATATTGGATTTTAGGTTACTATTAAAATATTTTGCTATCTCAAGAATTCAGCAGGCTGAGCAGAGCAGATGGCTTGAGCCCAGGAGTTCAAGACCAGTCTTGGCAAAATGGCAAAACCCCATCTCTACAAAAAAATACAAAAATTAGCCAGGCGTGGTGGCCCGCATCCATGGTCCCAGCTACTCAGGAGGCTGAGGTAGGAGGGTCGCATGAACCCAGTAGGCAGAGGTTGTAGTAAGCCAAGATCATGCCACTGCACTCTAACCTGGGCAACAGAGCAAGACCCTGTCTCCCAACCAAAAAAAAAAAAAAAGAATTCAGCTGGAAAAACCTTATATTTACTTTGATTAAGAAAATGTTTTTAAACCAATACTTTATGATGCACACTGGTGAATATGAAGTTATACCTGAAGTAATATTAAATGACAGCTTTTCCATTTCTAGAATGTATGCATCAACTACCTTAACTTAAACATGGTATTATCCAAGCTCACAGTATCTGAGAAGGTTTGTGTCATTATCTAGCAAACTAAAGTCAAGCCCTCTGTAGTTCCCCACCTGTGATCTTCAAAGATATGGTGCTCCTTGAGATTTCTGTAAGGTAGGTCTGTTCTAAAATGTGTGAAAGGAAGAGAACCCGAAAAGGCAAGGTCTAAGAAGATCACTCATTTGGAGATGGCAAGGGTCACATCGGGGTTATCTAAGTCAGTGTGATTTACCCTTTGGTAAATCATACACATATTTCAAAAGTTACTTTATATGCTGTAATTCTTGCACTAATTTCATGGAAAATAAATTAGTATTACCTCGACTATCATCCATATCACCATCCCTTGAATGTTCTGATTGGATGTCTGGAGGGGTCTGAAGGACGGCCACGCTATTCTGATTTATAATCTTCAATTTCAGTTTTGGTTTTGACAGTTTTCTTCTTGGAACTGTAACTGTGAGGCTCTGTAACTGAGTCATCCCTGATTCAATCAAACACACATCATCCTGGGTATAAGTCTTGGGTGGGTCTAAAATTACAAAATCCCAAGAATACAAATTTAAACTTTCATTTTAAATTTGACTGATTACTGTTCCAAAATACCCATATCAAGGGAATGTGACTGTAGTTCTAGAAAACAATTATGTATCTATGAAATGCATGAATAATTAACTTCATGATACCCAATAAAAACTAGGAACAATAGGTCAAACTTCCTTGGATTATAGGCAGAAATGTTACATGTTTTTAAAAAATGGTCTTCCTGGGCTGGGTGCGGGGGCTCATGCCTGTAATCCCAGCACTCTGGGAGGCCGAGGTGGCAGGCAGATCACGAGGTCAGGAGATCGAGACCATCCTGGCTAACACAGTGAAACTCTGTCTCTTCTAAAAATACAAAAAATTAGCCGGGCGTGGTGGCGGGCACCTGTAATCCCAGCTATGCGGGAGGCTGAGGCAGGAGAATTGCTTGAACCCGGGAGGCGGAGGTTGCAGTGAGCCAAGATCGTGCCACTGCACTCCAGCCTGGGCGACAGGGCGAGACTCCGTCTCAAAAAAGTCTTCCTGGCATTTCTTTTTTCATGTCCCAATAAAAAGAGTTAGAAGCACTGCAAATAAATGCAATGCTCAGCTAATCCACTATGAGCTTTTTCCTGGAAAAGATCAAAAGGCAGGGATCTATTTACACAAGAGGAGAGAGAATACTCCAGAAGCTCATCTGGAAAAATCAGAGTATCAACATAATTACTAACAGGGAGAAGTAATAAATAAGTACAAATCCTGCAGATTTAATTTTAAACATACAAAACTGTTGTTCCTTAGAACAATTCCTGTACTATCCAAATGTTTTTGTATCAGGTGCTATTAAATACAAGTATTCAAAAGAATGACTGTTTAATAAGAATATCATATTAATCACCATACTAGGCTTATTAATTATTTTAAAAAATTAAGAGATTGAATTAATTCTAAAAGAAATCTGCTTGCTAACTAGGCCGTATTTTCTGCTAACTGATAATTAAGCACAGTAATATATCAATGAAACCAAAGCAAGTATGGCATTAATGGTTATTCTAAGAGCTGTTATTTTTATTGCCAACTTGCTGAAATTTATAGGAATACTGCCCCAGTAAAGCTGGATGACATTTTATATATCATTGTGGAAATGATTACCAACATTATGGAATTTGGATAGAACACCCATATGATTGAAGCAGATTTTAGAAGTGGTAAGCCAATTATGTAAAAATTAAGCAAAGTAAATTAATTAAATTAAGTAAAGCATTTCAAATTTTACCTAGCTTTTTTACTTTTGTGACAATTTGTGCTACAAGTGAAGATCCACAGCAGTCTGAGGAAGGCACTGAAATGAAAAAAAAAAAAATCCAGGTAATTCTTTTCAGAAAAGGTAAAGTGTATTTACATACTTATATATGATTAAAATTTCTGTTTCTATAGTCATTTTATTAAAATAAATGTTTGAACACTAAAGTTAAAAGCACTTTTTAAAGCAACAACAAAACAAGAAGTGATGAAGGAAATACTCAAGTCATGGAGGAAAACCTGGCTAAGAAAGAATCAACACATTGGATTTTGACATATTGTCAATAACTACAAGATCATGTTCCTTGGAAGCAAAATTATAGTTTACATCTAAAGTATATGCTTTTTATTGTTTCATGTAAATTGTTTTATAACAAGTTGTGATAAGTCATGTATAACCAACAATAATATTTTTCATAAAATACTTGTCAAAGTAAGTTTCACAAAGACAAAATAGAGTAGAGCTAAGCTAATTCATTGGTTATGGACAGTAAGGTGCAAGAGAGTGGTACAAGAGTGCAGACTCACAGTTTAAATTATTCTGTTACCATTAGATGCAGGCATATAGGGTCTGCACATGTTACAATCAAAACCAATGTCTGCTACATTTTCCACTTCTTCCTCAGTATTTAAGTTCTGACGAACTGCATGCATCCATCTAAAAAGACCATATTTGTACATTTTTTTTTAAAAATGGAATATACTGAGAACTGCTACCTTTTAAAACCTGTAACACTGAGTCTTCAAACTTAAAAGCCCTAAGCCTCACATGCTCCTCCTACCTTGCCCTTTTCTCCTAACTATCCCTAGTAACAGAAAAACTTTCATAGAGCTAAGGAGGAAATAAAAAGGAATGAGAACAACTATTAGAGAGGAAGCAAAGCACATTACATAAGGAAGCTAATTATTTTATCATCATATATTAAATATTTCAAAGACAGCAAGGAAGCTAGTTAGGGCAAACACAAAGGTATTCAGAAAACTGCAAATGGCAGTGCTAGCATATATGGGCTCCAGGCAATGCATCTCACTTGAAGTAGACATATCTCATGGAAAGCGATGTTGAATGGTAATTGGGAAATAAAGTAAAAAGTTGTCTTGCAATGGAACAGATAATTAGTAGCCAGAGTCCCAAGAATACTGTACTACTGATAAAATAATACTATCAATATATGTTCACTGCTTAACTTCTAAAGAGTACAACAATATACCAATGAAAGCAAGGAAACATTCTTGATTTTGAAATTCCACATAATTACGTAGGGAGGGCAGAAGGTGCTATCTAATACCTAGATATCTAGTATCTAGAGCTTTAAGAGAAAGTGGTTTAAGGAGAACAGAAAGTGTTAGATATTTTTATAATCAATTAAAAGATTCAGAAACCCTTCATAAGAAACGGCATAGATGAAGGCAATAATTCTCCATCTAATTTCAAGGGATTCCTAAACCCTCAAAAAGGCCTAAATTAAAAATCTTTAGTCTTGGGTGGACACAGTGGCTCACGCCTATAATCATAAAACTTTGGGAGGCTGAGGCGGGCAGATCACAAGGTCAAAAGATGGAGACCATCCTGGCCACCATGGTGAAACCCTGTCTCTACTAAAAATACAAAAATTAGCTGGGCATGGTGGCATGCACCTGTAGTCCCAGCTACTCCGGAGGCTGAGGCAGGAGAATCGCTTGAACCCAGGAGGTGGAGGTGGAGTTTGCAGTGAGCCAAGATAGCGCTGCTGCACTCCAGCCTGGCGACAGAACAAGACTCTGTCTCTAAATTTAAAAACAAAACAAAACAAAACAAAACAAAACTTTAGTCTGGAGTTGAGAATTCAAAACAGGAAATCAATTCTGTAAGATTCTAGGTGACTAAAAATCTACAAGGCAAAAAGTTCTGTACCTAAAACTTGTGATTAAGGAAAAGCTATTTTCCTTTTTTTTTTTTTTTTTGCTACATTTCAAAGAGAAAAGCTTTAAAAAGATGAAAAAACAGCACAATACCTATCACATTGTCTACATTGCAGAATAAGATCTTCTTCTCTATAGTTTCAATAGCAGACTGGACAGGAAGATAAGCTTGCACAAGGAGCGCACTGTGTGTAATTGTTCTGCCATTCACATCTTAGACCTGCAGATGTTGCTCCACAGTGTCTGCACCAAACACACCTGAAATCCAAATCCCCCCGAAAAGTCTCCATTTTATTTTCTTAGTTATTCAGTAACTGTAATTCAGGAAGCTACATACGAACATAATGGGGCAAATGATTTAATGTGTATGTGAAAATTTTTCTGCTTAGTGGTATGTATCATAGAATATGTGTATTATTCAATTAAATAGGTATGGCTAATTTTTAAAAACTAAAGTGGTATGAGAAAGCTCTGAACTTGAAAGACTAACAAGGCAAACAAACCCTAGAGAACCATTTGCACTTCACTTCCAGCCTCCTTTGGGAACTGTCTGCAATGGAGGGTCTAGGCAGTAGGTGTGATAACTTATGTCACAATCATCACACAGCAGGAGTCTTCCTGGGTCAGTTGCCTTCCCACAGGCCTCACAAACAGTGCACTCAAGACACCTCCAACCTTTGCTAAGAACCACTTTAGTGATCTGTAAAAGAAACAACCAATCCATGTGATTTATGCATTAACCTAACATAATCAAATATACTATATAAATTAATATGGTGCTTATGTACCTAGAAGCAGAAAGGGGCAATCAACTAACATTTATTGAGCACCTACGGAGGCCCAATACTGGGTTGGGCATGTTCATACACGCTTTTAGGAGCCTACTGAGCAGAGTAATAGACAATGGCACATATTTTAATGCCTTTTTAAAGTCCACATAATTACCTTATGCTGTACATTTAATGTCCACTATATTTATAGATATAGTGACCAGATTTTAAAGAAATCAAGTAAGCTTCACTATTATTGATACATAATTGAAAATACATCAACAAAATCTCCATCTACATTTCCATGCTTAGAATCAATAGAAAAAATACCAAAAAAATTAATGTAAAGCATGAGTTCTTAGGGACATTTTATGATCTTAGAGGATTTCTATTTAGACTATGAAGCTAGGAATTCTGAAGTTCACATTCACCCCTCTGTTTATTCTCCCCTCTCTCAAGGGTATAAGTTAGCAGAATATTTGGGAATCTCCAAATCCCTAACAAACAACTGAAGGAAGCCACACCATGTAATATTAAGATTGCGGAACTTCTTAAAGATCTCAAAAGACTAGGATCCTCAGACAGAACCAATCAAGTGCCCACATTATAATGAAACAGCAAGTAATGAGGGTACAGAATAAAAATTCAGATCATGAGGTACATGAAAGCCTAAAAGCTACCAGAGAAGAAAATAAAAGAGTTAAATTCAAAGGAACACCCATCAGAATGGCACAAAACTTCCCAACTCCAGATGCTAGAAGAGTATAAGTTTCCAATTCTACAGGAAAATACTTTTCAAAGTACAATTCTCAACCTAGCTACACAAGCAACTATGTGTGAAGACAGAATACGTTGTAGACACAGGAAGATTCAAAATTCAGCTCCTTCATTCTCCTTCTAATAAAGTTACTTAGAGATATGCGGAACAGAATGAAGATGTATTACAAAGAAAAGGAAGACTTGGGATCTATAAATCAACAGATCCAACAAAGGACATCAGGCCAGGGAAGTTTAAGGATGAGAACAACACACCCAGAAGCCACTGGCACATATCAGAGCAGGAGAAGGGAATGTCTAGAAGGAGGGTAGGACTTCTCCCAGAAAAAAACAGTACTTTAAAAAATAATCTTATATGATAGTTCTATAGTAGGCAAACACAAAGAACGAATGGAGAGTCACTATTACTTTCTTGTTATTAAAAACTCCATGAAAGACAAAAGAAACTCATAGTATACTGTTTAGATCTGCAGTGAACATTTACTGAGTCATAACCAACACCTTATTAATTGAACTAAACATAGTAATACAACTATATTGGGAGAAGGAAGGAGGTGTATTTTAAGACCTAAATCAGAATTTATTTATTCATAGCAGAAAGTCAACAAAATCTAGCATTGATAAAGCAGTAAACCAGTTGATTATTTAGAGCTATAGCATTAACCACAAGAAAAAAGACCTGAAAAGATTAAAAGTGATTGCCTCAGATGTGGAGGTAGAGTAAGACAAGAGTTGGTTGTTCATTACAAGGCCTTTTTTTTTTTTTTTTTGAGATGGAATCTTGCTCTGTTGCCTGGGCTGGAGTGCAGTGGTGTGATCTCAGCTCACTGCAACCTCCGGCTCCCATGTTCAAATAATTCTCCTGGCTCAGCCTCCTGAGTAGCTAGGACTAGAGGAATGAGCCACCACACTCGGCTAATTTTTGTATTTTTAGTAGAGATGGGGTTTTACTGTGTTGGCCAGGCTGGCTTGAACTCCTGCCCTCAAGTGATCCACCCGCCTCGGCCTCCCAAAGTGCTGGGATGACAGGTGTGAGGCACCACACCCGGCCCATTACAAGGCTTTTAATGTCATTTGATTTTTAAACATGTATATTCATTATTTTGATTAGCTTATTGATTTTTAAGAATTTGTCTTAGATTACCAAGTTAGTATATTATTTGCCCAAATGAAGGAAATGGCCTGGGGTAAGATCAGGGTGGCTTAGAGCAGTAGCCAGCAAATATTTTCAATAAAGGACCAGAGAGTAAACAGAAAGTTTTGAGGGCCATATGATCTGTTGCAACTTTATAAAAACTCTGCCAGTGTATTGCAAAAAGCGCTACAAATATATGTAAACAAAGAACATGGCCATATTTCAATAAAAGTTTATTTGCAAACACAGGAAATGGGCCAGATTTAGTCTATGGGCCAGTCTGCCTGACCCTGGCTTAAACAATGACCTGAAGACAAAGTGGCAGACAGATCTGAGGTGTTTAGTGGTAGAATTTTTAAAATATTTATCTTCATTCCTACTAAGTTTTCTTCACAGATACCTGTGGTCCCTTTTACAACCAAACTCTCAAGTTTCTCCACTTATATTCACTCTTCAAAACACTACAGTCTGGTCTCTACACCCACATCCACTCATAACTGCTTAAGCCAGGCTTGTCAAGACCTTCTTATTCTCAAATCTAATGGAAACATTAGTGTTAGTGTTTCTTGACTTCTGGTACTTCAACGCTTCAACAATTTCTCCCTCTTTGAAATTTCCTTTTAACTTAGGTACTGGGGTTGTACTATCATTTTTTTCTTCCATTGAACCAGTTTAGCCTTAGTTTTAAAAGTTTTTTCAAATAAGATGTCATCCAGGATTCCATCCATGGTACCATGTCCAAAGTTGTTACAGATATGTTTTATAATCTAATACTGATACATGCTTCAATGATAATGGAGTAGATGGGACCAGCCTGTTCTCCCATAAGATAGTAGAAAATTGGACAAAGTGTATGAAACAACTGTTTTCAGATATTGGACAACACATAGTAAAGGAGACAGTGGTCTCTGAGAGGAAGGAAACACTCAGGGAGTCCTATGATATTCTGCCTAGAAACATTTTCCAGAACGCTGCCCAGGGAGGGAGAACCTCAGCAGAGTAAAATCAATGGCCTCGCTGAGGTTAGGGAAGGCGAGGCAGTGGAATTTGCAGGACACAGTACTCAAAATGAAGAAGCAATAAGGACTAAGAGCTCCAGAAACCTACAAAGGATCCCCTGAAGTCTTTGGTGGAACACCAAGCCGTACTTCTAGAAGCCCAAAGACCCACAACCAGGGGAAAGTACATCTACTGGGAATTTGTAAGCTGCACAATTACCAGAGCTTGCAAAAGGCTCAAAGACAAGTGAAGCACAACCAGTCAGAGTACAAAGACACTGGTGAACAGGGGGTAGAATTCAGTAGTGATCCCAGAAAGGCCAAGTCTTAAGTATAGGGTTAAACTAATGCTAGGACTGCAGCTACCAAAATGTGGACTAGGGAACCCCAGTGGGTCTGTAAAGTTAAAACAAATTTAAATAATACTAAGATTTAATTTGCCTTTTTTCACTTTAATTTATTCACAATGATACAGTGGTGTTTATAGAAGCTACATGTTGTATCATAATATTACATTGACATTGTACAGGTTGTGCTTCTGTAGTCTTGTGTTACAAAATGTTCCTAGTTTTAATTTCTAAAATGCTGAATAGTCCATAGTTAAAATCCTCATGAACAAAAACTATGGCGTCCCCAGTAATTTTAAAGAGTGTTAAGGTTCTAAAACCATAAAGTTTGAAAATATCCACCTTAGAGTGAAGGCTTTCTAGACTTGCCCCAGCAAGCTTAAAAAGAAGCTTCAAAGGTATCAAACTTATCCACAAACAATTGCCTCCTGCAATAAAAATGCAAGCTGAGCCAATTCACATATCCCTAGTATATTTCTAGATATTGCTGTATTTCTCAATGAGACTGCAGTATTCTATACTGTCCAAAACAGTGTCGTGTAAAAGGAACCACACATAATTTTTAAAAACAGGAATAACTAGGTGTCTGATAGTGCACTAATTGTCCAATCTTAACTTATGTAAGTCGTACTCATCTGTAAAATGGGAATTCGGTAATTGTTGGATGGGTTAAAAGAAATACATTACTACCTTGAAAGGGATCTTATTCAATTTCGTTAGGTCCAAAACATTAAGTATTCTAAAAAACAAAATCTAATGATAGCAGCTACTTTTATACAGAATATAAAGTACAAAGAAGAAAAGAAACATGTTTTATGCATATATAACTCCATTTTTAATTGGCTTTATATACTCTGTGTTTTTCAGTCACATACCATGAGCAACTAATTTTAAAAAACTACATAAATTAACCGTACTAGTCTTCTATTTTGGATAGTATTAATTACAATCTTTCATTTTGATTCCTAAATTCACAAAAACCTGTATTACCCTATAAAATAAATACTAGTGTAGTTATCAACAAAGAAGTCTGAAGGAGATAATGTTGATTTGCTTACTATACTGACATTTTACTGACAATGATATAACACAGTGATGTCTGAAGGGCAGGGGAGAATGGTATAAAAATCACTCATGGTTCACAACCTATTATTGAAACTGAGGTTAGTATTTATATTACATGGTATGGCAATACTAGAAAAGATTTCCTTGTGGAGTATACAGTTTAAGACCTCTGCTGTACAGCTATACCTCCATGCTTGCTTCCAGTGGCCATGACACTTTATTCAAATATGTAAGTTTTATTAAGACTGAGTTCTTAAAAAGAAAAAACCAAGAACCTTAGATACAACTAGTGAAGTATTGAGACCTGTCCATATTTAAAACCAAGCACACGATACCACTTAAAAGGTTCCCCAGAAAGCCTCTATCCTGAAATGCTTGAAAGTGAGCAGTGCTGACTCTCGATTATTACCAATTGCATTAAATATGACACTTGTTTTGTTTCTTTTGGCTATAAGGAGAAAATGTCATTTTGTATATGAGTGAGCACAGAGGAGAGAGAATGCGGTAAAGAACAGAATAGGCTAATAATTTTTTACTAAATACTCCAGTTCTCAGCTTTTTAAATCAACAGACAAAATGAATCAGCTAAACCTAAAATCTTTGTGAATAGTATAAATTGTCTTTTAAATTAAATGCATATATTTTTATGTTTTACTTTTTCAAGACAAAAGCAGGATATTAGTACAATATAAGATTTATAGAGGAGCAAATTTCTTGAGATAGGAAACCCTTAAAAGCAGTATTTAAAGTGCTTAAATACTGTCACATACGTTTAATAATCATAATACTTAATTGTGAGAACTGGGAGCTCATGTTACTACTAAAACCAAATAAAAATTCAGTACATATTTGTTAACTCAATTTAAGGATGTTTACCTTAATACTGACACAGTATGGATGGTAACACTGACCACACTGAGAACAGGCAAGTAGTCTTCCTTCTGCTCCTTGGCCAAAACTGCCACAAACTACACACATATCCTGAAGTTAAGAAAACAGAACATATTTTAAATGGAGACTAAGCTAAAAACCTACAAATTTTACTTTAAAAATACCTTCTTAACTAATATAGCTCTATAGCTAAATATTGGATCACTTCTGTGTAGATGAGATAAAGCAGAAATGTGCAAGGAGGAATTCAATGAGGAAGACAGTAAATTGTCAAGTTCAAACCTGATTCAAAGTGAACTTGTCACTGCTAGAAAACAACACAACCGTAGTGTGCATAGAGTTTTCTTCATCATCCTTATTTGATGAAATATCTGCAGTAGACACCTATAAAAAGCAAAATACACAAAATACGAAGTTATATTTTTCACTTGTTTTACACTTAACTGGAAAGCTTCAGAAAATTCATAATCAAAACATATATTTTTGCTAAGGTCTAGAATAACAATTCCAAATATTAATGCTAAGATAGTACTATAAAATGGAGTCATGACATTTTATTATTCACCTAATTCTCTCTTTAGAGGTAGAATTCCTATAGACCAATAAGTAATGAGAAAATATAATAAACCTGTCTTAGTAAGACTTGATTATGCAGAATTCTAATCAAGAAACTATAAATGATAATATTATATGTATGTACACACACAAATCTATCACTATTTTAATGACACACACTTGGGATCTGCAATGTAGTTAGTCTGAACTGAGATGTCCTGCAAACATAAAATACAGCACATAATTACATATTACATGTTGAAATGGTAATATTTTAGATATATCGGTCAAAATGGAAGGCATTAAAATTAATTTTGCCTGTTCACTATAACCTTTGTTTCGAGAGGAGTTTCACTCTTGTTGCCCAGGCTGGAGTGTAATAGCGTGATCTCAGCTCATTGCAACCTCTGCCTCCTGGTTCAAGCTGTTCTCCCTGCCTCAGCCTCCCAAGTAGCTGGGATTACAGTTGTCCACCACCATGCCCAGCTAATTTCTGTATTTTTAGTAGAGATGGGGTTTCACCATATTGGTCAGGCTGGTCTCTTAACTCCTGACCTCAAATGATCCACTGCACCCAGCTCATTGTAACTTATTAATGTGGCTACTAGGAAGTTTTAAGTTGCATATGTGGTTCTCATTATATTTCTATTAGCACTGCTTTGGAATATTATTTTGAATAACATCCAAATTTCAGTATTAGCCAAATGATTATCAACCAATATTGTTCAGTCTGGACTTAGTTCTATTTGATTAAATCAACTAAGTACCCTCTGGTTTGTTAATAATTTCTAGAGTGATTATGAAACAAAATAAAGCTCTGAACTAGAAGTTGTAGAAGAAGACAAGGAGGGCACTGCCAAAATCATAAAATACAATCCTCTTTCTTTAAAAAGCTTACAATCGAAGCCTGGAAAGACAGTTGAAACACAACAGGTTATGTTCAAGGTCAAAACATAACACAACTGAATTACTTTTCTTGAGGAACAACTGAAAGAAGATTAACCAGCTGGGTGTGGTGGCTCATGCCTATAATCTTAGCACTTTGGGAGGCTAAAGTGGGTGGATTGCTTGAGCTCAGGAGTTCGAGACCAGCCTGGGCAACATGGTGAAATCCTGTCTCTACCAAAAATACAAAAAACAGCCGAGCATGGTGGCACACGCCTGTAGTCTCAGCTACTCAGGAGGCTGAGGCAGGAGAATCACTTGAACCCAGGAGGCAGAGGTTACAGTGAGCCAAGATTATGCCACTCCACTACAGGCTGGGTGACAGAGCGAGACCCTGTCTCCCAAAAAAAAAAAAAAAAAAAAGGAAGGAAGTTTGGTTGGTTAACTAAATAGAAGGACTACATCTCGGTATTTTTCAATACAAATACATTTAAAAGCAGTTTTTTTGGTTTTTTTTTGTTTGTTTTTGAGACAGTCTCTCCCTATGTCACCCAGGCTGGAGTGCAATGGTGCAATCTTGGCTCACTGCAAGCTCTGTCTCCCAGGTTCACGGCATTCTCCTGCCTCAGCCTCCCGAGTAGCTGGGACTACAGGCGCCTGCCACCATGCCCGGCTAATTTTTTGTATTTTTAGTAGAGATGGGGTTTCACCATGTTGGCCAGGATGCCAGGATGGTCTCGATCTCCTGACCTCATGATCCGCCCACCTCGGCCTCCCAAAGGGCTGGGATTACAGGCATGAGCCACCGTGCCCAGCCTAAAAGCAGTTTTAATGGATAGTACTAATGCTTTATAAGAGCAATTTATAGTCATATGAACCCTAATGACTACAAGTGTTAATAATGCCAATATTAATCATTAGGGAGTAAGTAAAGCAATGACAAATCCAAACACTAGGAAAGTACGAAACATTTTAAAAGTAGGGAGGTAGAAACTTGTATAGACTGCCATGAAAGAAATTATCAAAAAGACACTGTTGAGTGAAAAAATAAATTGCAGAACAGTATTTGAGGTATAGCACTATAATATAAAAACATGCAACGTCATTATATGTAGTCTATGGGCACATATAATAGGTTGACTCATAAGAAATTGCTGCTTTTCATCAGTTCAGAAATAATATTGGCAATTTCATATGGATCAACCTAATATATAAATATACCAAACTGGTAACAGGGAAATAAGGAGGACTGAGGAGTTAGTAATGGTAAATTCTGATCTACCTATAACGCTTTAATTCTTTTAATAGAGAAAATGTATTGATGTGTTATATGCATAGCATTAACAAAATTAGCTTTCTAAGATTTTAGAGAATCATCCAAGATGATTCACAGAAGTAGAATCATCATCATCAGTAAGAAATTAAGTGACTACTAAAAGTAATCATTAATTCAGTCATAGGACTAATGATGCATTGACAAGACTATTGAGATATATAATTATGGAAATGGCTAAAATAGAGATAAAGTATCTATTTCTACCTCCCAACCACTTACAGAAAATTCAACACATTATACACACTGAGCAGCTCAAAGAAATTGTAAAGATCCATTATTATTTTTAAAAGGAAATTTAACCAGTGAATGCTTTCACTGAAAACGATAAAAAATATATTCCCAGTATAAACCAGAAATAAAGTCTGCAGTAGAAAACTACAATGTCCCTAGATTCAAGTGGGGGTGGGGAGTCATATTTAAATAATAAGTGCAGAAAAACCAAAATATTTTAAAATAATTGTCCATGCAAGAAAGAAAACAGTATCATCTAGCTTGAAGACCCACTGTTTTTATTTTATAATTTATTTCATGACCTTTAGACTGCTAGAAAAATAAAACCTAACTTGAGGGCAAAGGTAGAGAAAATATGTGCTATTGTTGCCTGCATAGATAATAGTGTGATTTATCCAGAAGGTGATAGAAATATCATTTTCCTAGACCACAGATATAAGCCAAGGAGAACAGAAAGCTCTGACCTAAACTTCACAAGTGTCCCTTCCAAGCAGGGACACGTAAGAGTAAACAAAAAAAGAAGATCAAATTAAACTCAAAGTGAGAAGATAGGAAAAAATAAAGATGAGAATATAAATCAATAAAACAGAAAGGGGAAAGAAAATAGAGAAAAGTCCATGAAAACAAAGGCTGACTCAAGAAGATCAATAAGATTGATAAATCTCTAGCCAGACTGATCAGGAAAAATATAAGACAAGATACAAATTATTAGTATCAAGAATGAGGAAGGTGAAATCACTACAGATTCTACAGGTATTAAAATAATAAGAAACATTATGATCAACTCCATTCCTTTAATTTGTCAAGATAGACAAAATGAACAAATTTCTTGAAAGATGCAAATTTATGCAAGGAGAGACAGATAACCTAAATAGGTACCTATT